>NW_019805488.1:0-164041 GCF_000001405.40 Homo sapiens
GAGGTAACATTAATTCCATTTAATAGATTAATAAATTGAGGCTCAAAGATTTGATTGCCTTCATGAAGATAATATAGCTAAAAGGTGGAAAACCAGAAATTAAATCAGGCTTTATTAATTTCATGCTTTCACTATACCACACACTGAGCACTGCGCACAGAAAAGGATGTCAGTCAGACAAAAATGTGTGTGGAGATGCCAAATGGAATTCTTAACAGGCAGAAGATATTGCACTATATTTGCATGTTGATTGGATTGATCAGATAGGAAGACAACTTTTTGTGATAGAAAGATAAGGAGAGGATAATTGCAGAGGCAAAATCTTGCATAGACAAGATGGGTTAGAGTTTAGTGCATAAGTAGAAGGCTTGACCATCGTTAGGAGAACAAATGTCCAAAGTAACAATCACATGGCATCTATGACTTCTTTCAGCAATGTTTTGTATTTCTCTTTGTAGAGATCTTTCACCTCTTTAGTTAGATGCTTTTGTAGTTATTTTTGTGGCTATTTTAAATGAGATTGTGTTCTTGACAGCTGTCAGCTTGAACATTATTGAGGTATAGTATAGAAATGCTACTGATTTCTTTTTCTTTTCTTTTTTTTTTTTTTTTTGAGAAGTAGTCTCACTTTGTCATCTAGGCTGGAATGCAGTGGCACGATCTCGGCTCACTGCAACCTCCACCTCTGGGGTTCAAGCAATTCTTCTGCCTCAGCCTCCTGAGTAGCTGGGACTATAGGCATGAGCCACCACACCCAGCTAATATTTGTATTTACCCCTAGTAGAGACAGGGTTTCACTATATTGACCAGGCTGGTCTCCAACTCTTGACTCATGATCCACCCCCCTCAGCTTCTCAAAGTGCTGGGATTACAGGCATAAGCCACTGCACTTGGCCACTGATTTTTATACATTGACTGTATTCAGAATGTTTACCAAATTCAAGCCCCCGATGGAATCTTTAGAGTTTTCTAAATATAGAATCATATCATCAGTGAAGAGAGAGAGTTTTACTTCTTCTTTTCCTATTTGGATACATTTTATTTTGTAGTCTTGCCTGATTGCTCTGGCTAGGACTTCCACTACTACATTGAATAGGAGTGGTGATAGTGGGCATTCTTGTCTTATGCCAGTTCTCAAGGGGAATTAATTGTTCAAGCTTTTGCCCATTCAATATGATGTTGCCTGTGGGTTTGTCATAAATTGCTCTTTTTAGTCTGAAGTATGCTCCTTTGATACCTAGTTTGTTAAGGGTTTTTATCGTGAAAGGTTTTTAGATTTTACTGAAAGCTTTTTCCACATCTCAGACAAATGGAAAAACATTCCATGCTCATGAATTGAAAGAATAAATACCATTAAGATAGCCATAATACCCAAACAGAGAGAGAGTATTCATATTTGTATAGGAATAGAATTGAATCTGTAGACTGCAATTGGAAAGCAATCTATAAATTTAATGTTATTCTTATCAAACTATGTACATCATATTTTCATAGAATTAGAAAACATTATTCTAAAATTTATATGGAACCAAAAAGCAAATAACCCCATTAAAAGGTGGGCAAAATATATGAACAGACACTTCTCAAGAGAAGACATACAGGCAGCAACCAAAAATGAGCCTGAATAGCCAAAGCAATCCCAGTCAAAATGAACACAGCCAGAGACATCACATTCCCTGACTTCAAACTATACTGTAAAGCTACAGTAATCAAAATAGCATGATACTGGTACAAAAACACACACACGTAACAATGTAGCAGAAATTAATCTTCACCCAAAGCCATCTCATCTTTGACAAAGTTGACAAAAAGAGGCAATAGGAAAAGGACTCCATATTCAATAAATGGTGCTGGGTTAGCTGGCTACTCATATGTAAAATAATGAAACTGAACACTTACTTTTCACCATATACAAAAATTAACTCAAGATTGATTAAAGATTTGAATGTAAGACCTTAAATTATATGCATCCCAGGAGAAAATCTAGGAAACTCCATTCTGGATATTGGCTTTGGAAATAAATTTATGGCTAAGTCCTCAAAAGCAATTGTAACAACAACAACAAAATGACGAGTGAGACCTAATTACACTAAAGACCTTCTGCACAATAAAAGAAACTAAACACATTAAACAGACAATCTACAGAATGAAAGAAAATATTTGCAAACTGTGTATCTGACAAAGGTCTGATATTCAGAATAGTTTAAGGAACTTAAACTATTCAACAGCAAGAAACAAATAACACCATTAAAAAGTGGGAAAAGACAGAACAGACCCTTCTCAAAAGAAGATGTGGGTGCAGTGGCTCACACTTGTAATCCCAGTACTTTGGGAGGTGAAGGCGGGGGAATCACCTGAGGTCGGGACTTCAAAACCAGCCTTACTAACATGGAGAAACCCCATCTCTACTAAAAATACAAAATTAGCCAGGTGTGGTGGCGAATGCCTGTAATCCCGGCTACTTGGGAGGCTGAGGCAGGAGAATCACTTTAACCAGGGAGATGGAGGTTGCATTGAGCCAAGACTGCAACATTGCACTCCAGCCTGGGCAACAAGAGCAAAATTCTGTCTCAAAAATAAAAAAAATACAAGCAGCCAAAAAACATATGAAAAAGTGCTGAACATCACTAATCATCAGAGAAATGTAAATCACAACCACAATGAGATACCATTTCATACCAGTGAGAATAGCTAATATTGAAAAGTTAAAAAAAAACATGGTGGTGAGGCTGCAGAGAAAAATGGAATGCTTATAAGAATGTGAATTAATTCAATTCAGCCACTGTAAGAATGGGAATTAATTCAGCTGCTGTGAAAAGCAGTTTGGAGATTTCTCAGATAACTTAAAATATTAAATGGGTGTGATGACATGTGCCTGTAGTCCTAGCTGCTTGGGAGGCTGAGGCAGGAGGATCACTTGAGTCCTAGATTTAAAGGCTGCAGTGAGCTATGATTGCCCAACCTGGGCAACGGAGTAAGACCTCCATCTCTAATTTTTTTTTTTTTTTTTAAAGAACTTAAAACAAAACTACCATTCAACCCTGCAATCCCATTACTGGGTATATATCCAAAAGGAAATCAATTGCTCTACCAAAAAGACACATGCACTCATATGTTTATCACAGCACTATCTACAATAGCAAAGGCATTGAATCAACTTAGGTGCCCATCAATAATGGATTGGATAAAGGAAATGTGGTACATATGCCCCATGGAACATGCAGCCATAAAAAAGAATGAAATTATGTTCTTTGTAGTAACATGAATGCAGCTGGAGGACATTATCCTTAGTGAATTAACACAGGAATAGAAAACCAAATACCTCATGTTCTCACTTATAAGAGGGATTTAAACATTGGATACTCAGGAACATAAACATGGCAACAATAGACACTGGGGACTAGTAAAGCAGGGAGGGAGTTGGGAGGCAACGGTTGAAAAACTCACTGTTGGGTACTAGCTCACTACCTGGATGAAGGGATCATTTGTACCCCAAACCTCAGTATCACACAATATCCCCAGGTAACAAACCTGCACATGCAGCCTTGAATCCAAAATAAAAGCAGAAATTATTTTTAAAAAAACCAAGCACGTGGCTATAGATACAAGTGGGTTAATACAGTGTGATTTGTAGTGGAAGAAACATGAGAAAGCTTTCTTCTGATGGCTTTTGTTTTCTTAATGAACTACAAGACAGGGTGATCATGGAGGAAAAAGATGGAATGTTAGAAGTGTGACGGAAAGGCATAAAATAGTTTTCTTTAAGTGTGGGAACATTTTTAGAGAAGTGAAATGTAGATGGATTTCTAAGCACCTTTAAATGCAAGGTAAACGGTAACATTCTTTTAGAAGCATAGGATCAGTAAAGCTTTGTGTTTTTCCCACCCAAGTCAGATGTCAAAATACGGGCATGTAATAGACAGATAATTTGACTTAACCAGGCTTGTGGGTTAACCAGGTATATATACATAGGAGAGAGCAGCAAAGGGAGCTGAGAATACATCCAAGGGAATTAGTCGACTACAGGCTGGACTACAGAAACTAAGCTGGTTAGGAAGGGATTGAAAGATACAGAGGAGAGAGGAACAGCTACAGGCTTGTAGAATCCAAGGACATTTAATTTATGTAGTGATGAGGTCAAAGAATTGTGGTAGTTTGGGCAGAAGAGGGAGTATACTGTAATGGTTTTCAGAGGGTAGATTGTTGAGATGAAGATGATGAAAAAGGTGTACCACTGATATTCACAGTGTCTGTGGTTTCTCCATAGTACTGGAGACTAAAGAAGTGTGGCAAATGGGATCAGGTGGAAAGAGCATCAAGAAACCAGTTGCAGTGAGCTGAGATCGCGCCATTGCATTCGCCTGGGTGACAGAGCAAGACTCCGTCTCAATTTTTAAAAAAAAAAGAAAAGAAAAGAAGAAAACCAGGATGTGATCAAAAAACGATTGGATATTGAAATAAACAAGAATTGTAACCAGAGTAACATTAAGAGAATAAAGTAAATAAGGTACTAAAATGCTGAGGGAATTAGAAGCAGTGATCAGGGAATTTGCAGATGTCTGCAATGAGGAAGCATTGCAACAACAAACTGATGGCAAACGCTACAATATAGTTCTAATTGTGTCCCTTGGAATTTCATTTTTTTTCTTTCTCAAGTATTCAGTGAATACAAATAATTTAATATGAATAACAATAATTTTCCTAATTTAAAACAATAGGCAAGAAGCTCTTTAGAGTTCTGGATTTCCTGTAGTTTAACAAAAGTCACAATAGGAGTAATTAAATCTATCTAATGAAAGAAGATATATTTGTAATTAAGGTAACCAGTTTACTTTCCTTTCAGAAACACTTTGATAATTACAATGAAATTGCTTAAAAATTGTATTGGTCTTAACTAAATTTTAGTTACTATAAAATAAGCATACAATCCCTGCAGATGCATAGAAATGAAAACAAAAGACTATCTGCAAGGAAGTAAGATCATATGCAAACATATTGGCAATTAGACCTTGCCTCTCCAAACGCCAGTTCTTTGTCCCCATAGCTAAGAAATCTACAACATTTAATGGTTGTGGAGCCTAGTGCAAATTCAGCTGGCAAAAGTGCATAAACAAGATGCAGCATTATACAAAGAATTAATGTGACTGTCAGCAAAATCATACAGGAGTTAGAAAACATTAAGCTATCATTTAGGGAAAATAGATTCTGATTTACGATGCCTATGTTCAGTGTTTCAACACACTTAGACTCTGTTTATATATCACTAAGACATTAGGTGATTTTAATTGACCAAGCAGCTGGTTTGACTAAATTTTGAACTGAAATGACTGAGTTTCTAAATTTGCTTAGTCACAGACTTCACAAAACCATAAATGGAAAAAGGATTATTTCTATCTCTATGTATTTAAGCAGCAGAAAGCCTTATGAAATCATATTAATATGATAAAGCAAGCAGAAGAGGCAAATCTGAGGCTTCTTGACATTTTTTGTGTCATGCAAAGACAGAAAAATAAGAATAGAACCTGGAAGCTTCAGGTCATGAGCACAGTAAAGCCTAGTTGACATAATTGAGACAGAATGGGATGTATTACCCCAGCCATGTAAATTGGTGCAAGGTCATGGTCAAACATGGATCATGTAGAGTCAAAGGATATCAAGGATCTGGCTTTGCTGTTCCATTACATACCATGAAGCTGAAGTGTAATGCATTATTAAAAGTAAATATTATTTTATCAAGCTGGAAAGACTTTAGGATGAGAGCTTTTAGAGTATCCTTTCAAACTGTGGCTTTTTCAGGCTCCTTGACATTCTTGTGTTAACCTCTTTCATAGATTGCTTCTCTTAATAAAGAGTAGAGTAGCAATTCAGAGAAAAGTGATTAAACTCTGCTTTTAACTTACATATTTTAAACAGTTTTGTTGATACATAATTCTTATATCACATGGTTCATCTATTTAAAGGTACAGTTAAATGATTTTTAGTATACTCAGAGTTGTGTTATAATCATAACAAATTAATTTCAAAATGTCACCCCCAAAACAAACTAGGTACCCATTAGCAGTCTCTCACTATTCCTCCCAACCCTCAGCCCTAGACAACTACCAATCTACATTCTTTCTCTATAAGTTTGTATATTCTGGCCATTTCATAGAAATTCAGTCATAAATATGTGATTTTTTGTGTGTGTCAGGTTTCTTTAATATAGAATGATGTTTTCAAGTTTCATTCATGTTTTAGCATATATTAAAATTTCATTCTGTTTTTTATTTTGTTTTGTTTTGGTTTGGTTTGGTTCTGTTTTTTTCCTTAATAATATTTTCTTGTATAGAGATTCCACATTTTATTCATTCCTTCATCAGTTCCTAGATATTTGTATTGTCTTCCACTGTTGCTTAACATGAACAATGCAGCTGTAAACATTTATCTAAAAGTTTTTGTTTGGAAATATGTTTTCATTTCACTTGAGTTTATATACCTAGCACTGGAATTGCTTTGTCCTGTGGTATCTTAGTTCATTCGGGGTGCTATAACAAAATATCATTCACCGAGTAGTTTATAAACAAGAGAAATTTATTTCTCACAGTTCAGGAGTCTAGGAAGTCCAATATCAAAGTGCTGGCACATTAGGTATCTGGTGAAAGCCTGTTTCCTGGTTGATAGACAGTGATTTTTCTATGAGTCCTCGCATGGTGAAAGGGGCAAGAACCCTGGGGCTTCTTATATAAGGTCAGTAATCCCATTTATGAGTACTGAGCCCTCATGACCAGCCAAAATCCCCTCCTCAACTCCCTGCTAATGCCATCATGGTGGTGATTAGATTACAACACATGCATTTTGAAGGACATAACATTCAGAACATTGCCTATGATAACTCTAAGTTTAACATTTTGAAGAATTGCAACAAGGTTTTTCAAATGGTTGCAACATTGAGTATTCTCACAGCTAACGTATGAGGGTTCAGATACCATTACATCCTTGCCAGTACTTATCATTGTACAATATATTGCTTACAGGTACACTAAAAACTGTAAAGTGGTATTTCATTGTCATCTTGACTGAATTTCTCTAACAAGCGATAATGTTGATCATCTTCTCATGTGCTTATTGACCATTTGTATATCTTGTTTGAAGAAATGTCTGTTCAATTTCTTTGCCTATTTCTTAATTGGATTATTTGTCTTTTTATTGTGGAGTTGTAAGAATTTGTTATATATTCTGGATACTACACTTATAGTCACAGTTATGTCCCACATAATGACTTTTTGGTCAACAATGGGTTGTACATATGATGGTGGTCCTATAAGACTGTAATGGAACTGAAAAATTCGTATCACCTAGTGACATAGCAACCATTGTAACATCATAGATGGATGCATTGCTCACCAGTTTGTGATGATGCTGTTCACTGCCAATTATATAAAACAGGGGTCCCCAAGCCATGGGCTGCAGACTGGTATAGATTCGTGGCCTGTTAGAAACTAGGCTGCACAGCAGGAGGTGAGCAGCGGGGTGAGCATTACCACCTGAGCTCCCTTCTTCCATCAGATCAGCAGTGGCATTAGATTCTCATGGAAGCATGAATGCTATTGTGAACTGCGCATATGAGGGAACTGGGTTGTGCACTCCTTATGAGAATGTAACTAATACCTGGTGATCTGAGGTGGAACAGTTTCATCCTGAAATCATCCCCACCCCAATCCCCACCTCCACCTCCATCCATGGAAAAATTTTCTTCCACTAAATTGGTCCCTGGTGCCAAAAAGTTTGGGGACTGCTGGTATAAATGTATAGCACATGAAATTATATATAGTGCATAATACTTGATAGTGATAACAAATGACTGTGTTACTGGTTTATGTATTTACTATACTATACATTTTATCATTATTTTAGAGAGTATTTCTTCTATTTATTAAAAAAAAGTTTACTGTAAAAGAACTCCAGGAGTATCCTTCAGGAGATATCCCAGAAGAAGGCATTATCATCATAGAAGATGACAACTTCATGTGTGTTATTGCCCTGTATATCTTCTAGTGGGACAAGATGTAGAGGTAGAAGACAATAATATTGATCATCCTGACCTTGTGTAGGCCTAAACTAAAGTGTGTATTACTGTCTTAGTTTCTAACAAAATTGTTTAAATATAAAAATAAATAATAATTTTTAAAATAACAAAATAAAAAATAAATATACAAGGAAGAAAATTGTTTCATACAGCTATACAATACATTTGTGTTTTAAGATAAGTGTTATTACAAAAGTCAAAAAGTTTTAAAAATTAAAAATTTTGTAATATGAAAAATTATAGTAACCTCAGGTTAATCTATTGTTGAAGAAATAAAGTAGTTTAATAAACTTGGTATAGTCTGTGTAGAGTGCTTATCAAGTCTACAGTAACATATAGGAATGTCCTAGGCCTTCCTATTCACTCCCCACTCACTGACTCACTAGAGCAATTTCCAGTCCAGTAACCTCCATTCATGGTAAGTGTCGTATACTGGTGTACCATTTTTTAATGTTTTATATCTTATTTTTACTATACCATTCTTGCATTTAGATATGTTTAGTTACATAAATACTTATCATTGCATTACAATTGCCTACAGCATTCAGCACAGTAGCATGCTGTACAGGTTTGTAGCCTAGGAGCAATAGGCTATACCATATAGCCTAAGTGTGTAGTATGCTATACCATCAAGATTTGTGTAAGTACATTCTATTGTGTTTGCATGACAAAATCACCTAATTACACATTTCTCAGACTGTATTCTCCTCATTCAATGAAGCAAAACTGTATTTGATTTGAAAATATTTTATCCCGTTCTGTGAGTTGTTTTTACATTTTCTTTATAGTGTTCTTTAAATTACGAAAGTTTTTATTTTAATTTTGATGAAGTCCAATTTATCTATTTGTTCTTTTGCTACTTATACTTTCTGTTTCATATCTAAGTAATTATTGCCTGATTCAAAGTCCCAATAATTAACTTTTGTGTTTCCATCTAAGAATTGTATACTTTAGTGTAAACTCATACACTTAGGTTTCGGATCCATTTGGAGTGAATTTTTACATATGAGGTGAGGCAGAAACCTGATATTGTTTGGCTATGTCCCTACCCAAATCTCATCTTGAATTGTATTTCAAATTCTAATCCCCACGTGTCGAGGGAGGAACCTGGTGGGAAGTGTTTGGATCATGGGGGAGGTTTTCACATGCTCTTCTCATGATAGTGAATGAGTTCTCACGAGATCTGGTTGTTTGATAACCGTCTGGTGCTTCCTCGTTCTCTCTCTCTCTCCTACCGCCTTTTAGATGTGCCTTGCTTCCACCTTGCCTTCTGCTATAACTGTAAGTTACCTGAGGCCTCCCTAGTCATGTGGACCTGTGAGTCAATTAAACTTTCTTTCTTTATAAATCACCCAGTCTCAGGTCATATCTTTACAGCAGTGCAGGAGTGGACTAGTACAAAATCTAAGTTTAAAATTCTGCATGTGAATTTCCAATTGTCTCAGTACAATTTGTTGAAAAGCCAATTTAATTGTTTTATGAACATTTTTTATTGAAAAACAATTCAATTCATCATAAAATGGATTTTTAAAATAGTATAAAATAGACTCTCAATTCTATGTCATTGATCTATAGATCTTTGAAATAATAAAGTGTGAGTTCTTCAAATTTGTTCATATTCAAAATTGTTTTGGCTATTCTGGGATTTTGATTTTCCATAAGAATTTTAGGATCAGCTGATTAATTTCTCTATGCCAGTCATATAGTAATTTAATAAGATTTTCAATTAATTTATAGACTAATTTGGAAACTATTGTCATCTTAACAAAATTAAGTATTTCCATCTATGAACATGTGATGTCTTTCCATTTGTTTAGGTGTTATTGAATCTCTTTCAAAAATGTTTTATAGTTTTCAGTGTACAAGTCTTACACTTCTTTGGTAAATTTATTCTTAGGTATTTTATTCTATTTTATGCAAATAAAACAGAATTGTTTTCTTAATTTTATTTTCAAATTTTTTATTGTTGGTATATAAAAATACAACTAATTTTTTAGATATTTACTTTGAGGCAGCGATCTTTCTGAACCCATTTATTAGCTGTAATATTTTTAGTGGGTTGATTAGTATTTTCTATATACATCATTATGCCATCTGTAAAGAGAGATCGTTTTACTTCTTCCTTTCCAATCTGATGGCTTTTTTTTACTTTTCTTGCTTAATTGCTGAGGCTGGAAGCTCTAATACAATGTTGAATACAATGGCAAGAACAGAAATCACTATCTTTTTTCAAATCTTAGGTGAAAACATCCAATCTTTTTTTTTTTTGTAAATGGCCTTTATTAGGTAGAGAAATTTATCTCTCTTCTAGTTTATTGGGTCCTTTTTTGTTTTTTAATTATAAAAAGTGTTAGAATCTGTCACTTGCTTTTTGTGTATCTGTCTATACAATCATATTGTTTTTGTTCCTTTGTTTATATAGTGTACAACATTGATGAGTGTTGGATGTTAAATTAATCCTGCATTCCTGGGATAAATTCAATTTGATCATTATATATGATTCTTTTTAATGTGTAGTTTCTGTTTTGAAGGAGTTAAGAACATGCCATTCAAAATACACTACTTTGTCAGATTGACTATTTTGAGTTAAAGGCAGCTTGGAAAACAGCAGGTACAAGAAAATTACTCTGACCTTTCTTCAGTTTCTTAACCGCAAAATATGGAATTTTCGTGTGAAAGATGACTTTCCTATACTAGAAGGAAGGTAGCATTTTTATCATCAAGGACAGAAAGTTAAGACTGACAGAATTCTATACAGACCTTGTTAAAATAAGTCTTACCTTCATTTAGCCTCACTACATAATTTAGTTATGTTCTCACAACTTAATACTCTGTCCAATTCAGTATGTATGTGTTCAACTCTGTGTCTTGAATCTTCATTTCTTTATGTAGGTTTCCATGCCACATAAAATTTATCTTAAATAAATTTGTATGTTTTTCTTCTGTTTATTTGTCTCATGGTAATTTAATTCTCAAGCCCAGCTGAAAAAACCCCAAAAGAGTAGAGATGAATTTTCATTCCCCTAATTCTATCTATGTACCATTTTAATGGAAGAAGACCTGAAACCTAGAGCTTCTATTCCAACAAACAACAATCTAGGAAATGTTAAAAATGTTTCCCTCTTGGCTACAAACACGAAGTAAGGATACCTTAGAAGATAAAATAAGTAGACTCAGGGGAAGGTTAGATAGGCCTGAAGAGATTAGTAGGGAAGACAAATAGAAAAAGAGAAGAAGACCTAAAGAAACTCTGTGTTAAGAGAGAAACTAAATAGGTTTAGTTTTATTAAGTAAATCACATGTAATTGCTGACATTTGACCCTTTGACCTACAAAAACAATAATTCCATTTAGTTCAACCTATACTTTCCTTCCAAAGTTCTGAAAAAAATGGATCAATCCCTTTTATAACTTATTAGTAAATAAAGATAGAACAAATGAAATTGCCCTACTAAGAGTGATACAATTTTATATCTTGTTGCCCACATTTATTTAACCCTGAGGATAATAATCAACATAACCTAATTTTAAAAATATAAGTTTTTTTTAAAGCACATTTTGTCCTAAAGTTTTATTTCAAATGGCATTTTTGTTTTTTCATTTCTTTGGATGAAAGTTTTTGAATTTCCTCAAATTTTTATAATTATGATAATCCTTTGTTCTGATTACTATTATCATTAGGATTATCATTGTTAGCAGTTCAAGTAGTGATCATCATTTTTCTCATCACTGTCAGTGTCATCATGGTCATAATAGTAGTATTTTCCCTTTTGCAAGGAAGGCATCCAACAGGTATAACAGTAAAACAAAGAGATTCATCTTAACTATGCCTACTAAGTTGTTATATGCACTTTACGCTATGACTTTAACCTCTCAGTTGCTTTGCTTCTTTAACTACAAAGCGTGGATTGTGGCAGTTTTACAAGGTTACCAGAAAGGTTAATGTCTGCAACTTTTAAAGCTTCTTTTGTTAGAGGTTCAGAGAAGGAAAAGTATTATTCTACGTTGTTTGGTACCTTCTGTCACAAGGCTAAGCTATGAATATAGAATATGATTAAAACATATCGTTTTTCTCTTTATTTGTCAAATGCCATCTTATTGAATAAATACATTGAATACCTAAGTAGGCATTTACTTAAAAATTCCATCAGATTCAGCCTCTTTCTGACTGTTCCGATTTCATTTGTTAAAAAAAAAATGCATTTTTAGTATGTCTGGGCTGCAAAATACTGAATAAAATTACCATGAAAAATAAGTACTGTCTGCATTAGATTGATGAAGTAATTGATTGATTGCAGTGAGATTAAAATATCTTCTGATGAGCATATACTTACGGTAATCATAAAAACAAAATTTGAAAAAGAAATTTGGAGCTGACATTAAATTTTAATTAAAAAAAATTAGAAATGTAACAAACAGCTATTTCTACCACTAGAATAGAGCAAGTGACACTTTGACTTACTCTCTAGGTAACTTAAAAAGAATGTTTAACTGAACCCAAGCCAGTTTCATGTTACAACAAACATTTTCTTGGCGGGGAGTTGAAAGTATCTTTGGTTCTTTGATGATTCTGAAGAGTTTTCAAAAGGAGTTGTGAATCTCCTCAGGTACTAAAACCAGATTTTTCTTTCTATAAAATGGAAACTTGTAAAGTTCACTTCAATATTTTTTTTTCACCTAAATGTCCACATACTTGAGAATGTTTAAAGGCATTATGGTGTATTCATCTAATTAAACATAAGCATTAAAAATCACATTTTTATGAAAGCATGTAAAGTTTCAATAGAAACTATCATTATAGAATAAGTGGGAAGAGAAACGTATGTGTATTATAAGATTCAAATTCTGTTATTAGGTTGTATATACTGAAATCTATATCTATCTATAATCAGAAAAGATACAATGATCTGTTAATTGTGTTTATCATCTGGTAGTATAAATGGAGGTTCTTTAATTTATATATTTTATTTGCCATATTTTATACACTAAAAATTTAAAATTATAACTACTAATAACTGGTAAATTACATATGGATGTATATAATTTTATAAAATTACTAACATGTGAGTATAATTATCTACACTAAACTCCTGTAGAATTCGACCAGAGGGAGGGAGATAGGTTAATTCTAGTGAGAAAATCAGTAAGCATGGAAGGTAGAGTTCACTCCTTCCAGAACTGAGCAGCTGGGAGCTTCATGGGTTAGCACTATGGTTGCTGTGAGTACACGGTGTGGCCATAATTAGAAGTTCTGGTAGAGACAAAGGTCATTAAGAAAATAAAATTATCTGGGAAAAATCAGCAATGGCAAGAATGTGAAGGTTTCTGTGGAATGAGATGCTCCAGTGAGTTTAGGGAACAACTAAAAAATTAAGGAAAAAGTAGTAAAGAACTGGGGTATGTCTCTTTATTCCATTTTAATGTTCTTTAGGAATGAAAGCAAAGGATTTGACTGACTTTAATATTGCCTTGAAGACAGGCCTATGTTTTTGTAAATGTAACCCTGCTCTGAAACTGTAACACCCAGATCTTCAAGTTCCATGGGTGTGATGAAGAGATGGATGTAGATACATACATGCAAATTTTTTTTCTTTTTCTTTCTTTTTTTCTTTTTTTTTTTTGAGACGAAGTCTCACTCTTTTGCCCAGGCTGAGGGGCAGTGGCATGATCTTGGCTCACTGCAACCTCCGCTTCCCAGGTTCAAGTGATTCTCCTCCCTCAGCCTCCCCAGTAGCTGGGATTACAGATGCACACCACCATGCCCAGCTAATTTTTCTATTTTTAGTAGAGACAAGGTTTCATCATTTTGACCAGGCTGGTCTCAAGCTCCTAACCTCAGGTCATCCACCCTCCTTGACCTCCCAAAGTGCTGGGATTACAGACGTGAGCCACCATGCCCAGCCCATCCATGCACATTTCTCTATTCTACAATTATAAAATACATTTTAAACACTTTGTGTAGTGAAGAGATCTTACAAAGATTTTTCCTAAGTCAAACAGTTCATCAAATGCTTCATTTCAAGGCTACCTTTATCCCTGAAAGCCACGGCCATTTCCCAGTTCCCTACCACAGACTCCAAGTCCCCTTTTGGTCCTAATGAATGGCATCCCCCTCCACACTCTCTGGTAGGTGGGTAAGCAATAGAGGATATCTCAGAAAAAGAGACTTGTAAGAGCACATTTCCAGCCCAAAGGAAGTATGATATATTTTGGTGGGAAAAAAAAATAATCAGAGATTTTTAACACACAATTCTGGAAGAAGAAAATGGTATCCACGATGATCTTGCAATAAAAATACATGTTCAGTCCGGGTGTGGTGGCTCACGCCTGTAATCCAAGCACTTTGGGAGGCCAAGGTGGGTGGATTGCCTGAGGTCAGGAGTTCTGGATCAACCTGACCAATATGGTGAAACCCCGCCTCTACTAAATATGCAAAAATTAGATGGGCGTGGTGGCGGGCGCCTATAGTCCCAGGTACTCGGGAGGCTGAAGCAGGAGAATTCCTTGAACCTGGGAGGCAGAGGTTGCAGTGAGCCGAGATCGAGCCATCCACTCCAGCCTGGGCGACACTCTGTCTCAAAAACAACAACAACAACAACAACAACAACAAAAACATGTTCAGTGAGCAGTTTACCATGTGAAAAACACAATTATGTGTTTTAGGAAATTTAATAATATGTAAGAGATGGTTGTCAAGGTTTTCAAAAACCACTGGGAGAGCAAACAAATAATCTTAAAAAAAAAGGAGTACAGTACATTAAGTGCTTTTTTGCTGAATAAGGAGCATGACGTAGTGGGTGCTAGAGGATTCTGATGATCATCCAAATTTGTGAAACACGAATGTAGGTGAAGAAGAGCTAGAAAAGCATTTTAAAAGAGAAACATCACGTTCAAATGTACATATTAAAAGATGAATTACAGTAATCTGGAGAATAATCTGGAAAGAAATGAAATTTTGATCATTCTCTTTAACCTATATTATAGTCTCATATTTTAAACACTTAAACATCCTTTAACATGCATCAAACAAGGTTGGCTTAAAAAAAAAAACAAAACCTTGTGGCTTTAATTTTCATCTGCCAACTTTGGTGAGTCTTTTACTCTCTCTAAGCCTTCAGAACCTCATTTATAAAATAAGATGGGTAATCTTAGCAACCATTAAAATATGTTTCAGGCTTCAAGTTCTCTGAAATAACAAAACTAAATGGTTATGTGAAGTACTAAAGGTATGTTTTCATAGGCTGTCTGCCTCTTCATTTAGGAGAAGAAAAAAAGCATTTGCCATTTCTGTTTAGACATACACTAAACATATATTCAAAAATCTGAAGGATGTATTTTGGTTTCTTCTCATTTTTTTTTCTGATCTGCAGCAATATGAGATTGTATGCAATGAATTGAGGGGAAATGGAATAATAAAAATTTTGAGACTTCTCTTCAGTCTGAGGATGCTCAATACCTTAGTTGCCATAAAGGTTAATGAGGATGTCAAGTTACTCTGAGGTTCAACCCCCAAAGGACATCCTCGGTTCTGCCAAAAAGCAAAAGGTATGCATGATAATAAGCATCTCTGAGGAAAATAAAACACTGATGATGGCATGACTCAATTATGTGCAGAATAATGATAAGCCTTGCATCCTCTATACTTTCCTAATTGGATAACAGTGCAATCCTGTGTACTACAAATAGTGTAGAGCACTCATTAAGAAGGAGAGAAAAACACAAGTGATCTTGTCTTAGTTATCACTCAAATGTGAATTCAGAAAGAAGAGGCTATGTCAAATACAAATTGCTTTACATATTTTTTTCATAAAGGTTTCTCTCATTTGGATTAGCTGCTGGAACTGAAATAAGTTTAATTAATTCAATGTATCATACTAAATTGTAAAAACGAGTAAAACTACGGGAAAAAAAGGAACAAGTATCTTTCTTAACCATAGACATCTATGTGTAAGGTGGGACTTTGAAATGCAGGAACAACAGTGATTTTTAACTTTTTCCAGAAACCTAGAATTCTATCTATACATGAAATTTCTGGTAAAGGGGTCACCCAAATTTTCATTCATATATGTTTTTCTACCTTACTTCATTTGCTGGCAACTCTTCTGACAATAATAGCCTTTCTAGTCAACAAAATGATTGTTAAGAGGAATCACTTGCTCATGTGTTTTTTGCCTATGAGAGAACAGGGGGTACAGGAGAATTAGAATAATAAACCATCATTGTTTGTAAACCTTAGGAAATTATCAAGCATTGTCTGGAAATAAAAACAAAAAATAGAAAGGAAAAGGAAGAAAAAGAAAAGAAAGAAAAGGAAAGGAGAGAACAGAAAAGGAAGGGGCAAGGGAAGGAGTTATGACCCACTAAGGAGAGACAAAAACTGCTGGGTCTAGACATGTGACCAAAAGATAAATAATTAAAAGTTTTGAAGCAATTGTATTGATCATAAAACTAGGTCTTCCTGAAAGAAATCTTAGAGGAATAGCAATAGCAATAGCTAATGCTCAACTTGATCTACCAAAGAATTTTTTTTCTAGTGGAAATATACTCTTATTAGCATTCAAGTTCTAGGAAATAGATCCTATTTTTCATTGATCTATTTATTTTCAAAGATTGATAAAATAGCATTGAAAATGAGAAATGTTTATTCTCCGTCTTTGGTAAACCCTACTCTACACATATCCTAATCGTAAGCCACATGGTGTAGACAGCAAAGTGTCTCTAGATTCAGGTCTGCCCTGGCATTTGTTTTCAAGGCGAGAAGGTTCCAGAGAGAAGAGATACATTCTTATTTATTCTTAAGTCTCTGACTTGAATTTTATCAGGTCTTTGTTATCAAATTTTCCAAAAATAGAATAAGCATTACTCACAGAGTCCTCCTGCCCTGTAGTAAAAGCCCCAACTAGTTTTATTGGTTTATTATTCCTCAAAAGTCTGAAAATTATTCATGACAAAAACTTACTTGGTATTATCAAAGTCATATGTGTAGAGAAGAGTCCGTAAGTTTCTAGGTAAAGTTGTTCCCTCACCCTAATATGTAAGTGGATATAATGATGACTTAATTACTTTTAGAAGTAAGTTTACAACAAAGCCTTAACCTAGACTCTATTGTTTGGGTGCGGGATGAGATTTCATACACTACTAAGTAACTTCAGAATAGTTTTCACTACCCTGACACAGTATAGTATAAAGTGTGTGATCCTAAACTGAATATCACCATTATAGTTACTCTTTTGCTGAGAATAATTTCATTTTCTTATCCAAACACACTACTACCTATCTCCATAACATATTCTTCTGTGTCATTAGTCTCCTTTTAACCCATTCCATTCTAGAAGCAGAATATCAGGGAGAGGTAGGCTTTAATTGATTTCCTTTGGCCGGGCGCGGTGGCTCACGCCTGTAATCCCAGCACTTTGGGAGGCCGAGGCGGGCGGATCACGAGGTCAGGAGATCGAGACCATCCCGGCTAAAACGGTGAAACCCCGTCTCTACTAAAAATACAAAAAAAAATTAGCCGGGCGTAGTGGCGGGCGCCTGTAGTCCCAGCTACTCGGGAGGCTGAGGCAGGAGAATGGCGTGAACCCGGGAGGCGGAGCTTGCAGTGAGCCGAGATCCCGCCACTGCACTCCAGCCTGGGCGACAGAGCGAGACTCCGTCTCAAAAAAAAAAAAAAAAAAAAAAAAAAAAAAAAAGAAGCAGGGGAAGGACAGAAGACTTATGGTGGCTGGCTCCCCATTTTTTTTAAACTATCATTAGTTCATCCATAATGCTTAAGTTTCCATCTTGTTTGTAGAATTATTTGGCATCGTGACTAGAATTTGCAAGGCATTCTGGGGATGTAGTTTTTCTGGACTACTTGTGACTCTCAAAGAATTTAATATTTAGTTCCTTTTAGAAGATGGGGAGAATGAATATTGGGGAGGTAAGCAGCACTATCTGCTATCATAGGTACAATAAAACAAAAATATTTAACATTTACATAGGCACAAACCCACACACATATGTATAATTAATTGTTGAAGTTCTTTTTTTTAATTTTTCTCCTCTTGGCCCCATAACTGAGGCTGCAAAAAGCACTTCTTCAAGAAAAATCAAAAAACTTTTAAATATGAATATGTAGTATTCAGTTTGCATTTGTGAAAGTATAAACTAAACAAAAAGCTTGTTTCCTTTTAATTAAACCAATATTTTTCTAAAAATTACTGTGTAAAACATGGTGCTAAGGACGATTAGGAATCATGAGATTAATTAGATAACATGCCTGCCCTTTAGGGGCTCATAATCTAGAGATGGGATCAGACTCAAAGTATTTGTTCGATTTGTGATCTTTATAGAATTCCAACTTCTAAAACTGATTTCTAAAATTAATTTATCTCATATCTCTTAAGATTTTATTTTTTATTTTTATAGATACATAATAGTTGCACATATTTGTAGAGTACATGTGATATTTTGATACCAGCATACAATATGTGATGGTTAAATCAGGGGAATCGGTATATCCATTACCTAAAATATTTATTATTTCTTTGTATTAGCAAGATTAGAATTCCACTTTTCTAGTAATTTTGAAATACACAATAAATTAGTGTTACTGTGGTTACCATATTGTGCTACTGAGTACTAGATCTTATTCCTTCTGTGTAACTGTACTTTTATACCCACTAACAAACTTCTCTTTTTCCCCCCTCTCCACTATCCTTCCAATCCTTTAGTAACTATCATTCCACTCTCTATGTTTATGAAATCAATTTTTTAGCTCTCACATAAAAGTGAGAACATGTAATATTTTTCTTACTGTGCCTGGCTTATTTCACTTAACATAATGTCCTCTAGTTCCATCCAAATTGTTGCAAATGACAGGATGTAATACTTCCTTATGGCTGAGTAATAATCAATTGTGTAAATGTACATTTTCTTTATCCATTCATTTATTGATGAGCACTTAGGTTGATTTCATATCTTGGCTATTGTGAATAGGGACACAATAAACATGAGATATCCAGTTTTCCTAGCACCATTTATTGAATAGGCTGTCCTTTCTCTAATGTATTTTCTTGGTACCTTTTGTTGAAAATCAATTGACTGCAAATGCGTAGATATATTTCTGTGTAGTTTATACAACATCTTAAGAGATGTTTCCCCAAAAAATGTTTCAAATGCTTATAGGCTTCTGTAATCCTCAGAACATTTCAAATGACTGTCCTGAAAATGATATAAATATTTTATTTCTTAAAAAATTATGACAGTCTGAACCACTGAAAATTATAAGATTTTCCCCCTACCTTCTCCCTTCTTTACATATACCTTTATTCTTCTCTGAGCGAATTGAATGATATGACTATATCATTCCTACAAACACATCAGTCAGCTTCACTTTGAGTGAATATGTGGAAGATGTGCACACCCTACAGACACTGATGAAAAGGTATCTTGCTAGTATTTGTGGTTATTGTGACACACATTAAAGTGTGTTAGTCCTACGCCATCTCTTATTAGTAAATCTATTTTACTTTTCCTTCTATTGCATTCCATCAACTGTTTATCATGATAATTTTGTATTACAGTTATTTGTATAGCTTTCTCAAATTCATTTTAGAATGATGCAAGAAAGGGCATGAAACAGAAAGAATGAACAAAGGAGATAAAGTGATAGAATATTTTGTGGGTTTTAACATCCTACATGTCACTAAGAGAAGTGCTCATCATTGATGTTATTCCTCATCATTAGTGTTATTCTGTCTTACTTTTAACTACAGGTAATATGTTTTGGCTGTGTCTCCACCCAACTCTCATCTTGAATTTTAGTTCCCATAATCCATGTGTCATGAGAGGGACCTGGTGGGAGATAATTGAATCATGGGGGCAGTTTGCCCCCTGATAATTCTCATAAGTTCTCATGAGCTCTGACTCTTTTATAAGGCGTTTCACCCTTTACTGGGTTCTCATTCTTCTCCTTCCTGCTGCTTTGTGAAGAAGGACATGTTTGCTTCCCCTCCACCATGATTGTAAGTTTCCTGAGGCCACCCTGTCCATGCTAAACTGTGAGTCAATTAAACCTCTTTTTTTTTAAATAAATTATTCTGTCTCCTGTATATCCTTATAGCAGCATGAGAATGGACTAATATAATAGGGGATCTTAATCTTGGCATCAAATAATAATGAGTTTTACATTGGCATCCTTGTACTTTTAAGAGAGGCTATTGAATTTCCAAATAGGTTAGGGCAAGCAAATTTCAAGTGTGAACATAAATATTGCTCCCACATACCTAAGATATGCCTAACTCTGACTGCTATCTGAAATATTAAGACACTGGAAATATTTTTATGCAGAGTGAAAAAGTGGACAAAATAGAAATCGGAAATAATTTACATAATTATCATATTTTAACTTTCAGTTAGTAAAACAAATACATCTTTCTGGGTTTTATCATCTAATTCTTACCTGTTGGTAAAATTCTCTAGATCTACCTTATTTTCTACTTCAGGGAGGTGTTCATTATTTCAAATTGTACATTATCTCCTTCAATTTCATCAAACATGTAAGATTGATAGAAATGGAAGCCACATTCTGCACATTAAACCCATTCCATCAGAAGGAGATCAACAACAACAAAAATACTTAAAAAATAATCTTGACTCAAAAATTGCAAAATCATCTAGTCTTGGAATATTTTTAAAAATATGTATGATTAGTAATTGTCTTTAAAAAGTCAAATACATACAATATTGAATATTATATTCTTCTTTTGTCTTCAAAGCTCTCTTTGATTATAAAGTTCATATCAGTTAATTTGAATATCAAGAATTTTTTGCTCCATTGTCTTGGACTCACTACATTTATTTATTTATTTTTTTCAACTTACATTTTAGGTTTTGGGGATACATGGGCAGGTTTGCTATATGGTAAACTGCATGTCACTGGGGTCTGGTGTAAAAATGATTTCATCACCCAGGTAGTAAGCACAATTCCCTATAGGTAGTGTTTTGATCCTCACCACCTTCCCACCCTCCACCCCCAAGTCGGCACCAATGTCTACTCTTCCCCACTTTGTGTCCATGTGCATTTGATGTTTAACTCCCACTTATAAGTAAGAACATGTGGTGTTTGATTTTTTGTTCTTGCGTTAATTCACTTTGGATAATGACCTCCAGCCCTATTCATGTTGCCACAAAGGACATTATCTCATTCATTTTTATGGCCGCATAGTATTTCATGTTGTATATGTACCACATTTTCTTTATCCAGTCCACTGTTGATAAGCACCTAAGTTGATTTCATATCTTTGCTATTGTAAATAGTGTTGCGATGAATACACAAGTGCTTGTGTTTTTTGGTAGAAAGATTTATTTTCCTTTAAGTCTCTACCTAGTTACGAAATTACTGGGTTGAATGGTAGTTCTGTATTAAGTTATTTAAGATATCTCCAAACTGTTTTTCACAGTGGCTGAATTAATTTACATTTCTACCATCAGTTTGTCATCATTTCTCTTTCTCCACAACCTCACCAAGCTCTCCTGTTGTTTTTTTTTTTCACTTTTTAATAATAGCCATTCTGAGTGGTGTGAGATGCTATCTCACTGTGGTTTTGATTTGCATTGTTCTAATCATCAGTGATATTGAACATTTTTTCATGTTTGTTGGCTGGGTGGATGCCTTCTTTTGAGATGTGTCTGTTCATGACCTTTCCTCATTTTTTTTAATGGAGTTTGTTTTTTGCTTGTTGACTTGTTTAAGTTTCTTACAGATTCTGGATATTAGATCTTTGTTAGATGTGTACTTTGCAAACATTTTCTCTCATTCTGTAGACTGTCTATTTACTCTGTTGATAGTTTCTTTTGCTGTACAGAAGCTCCATAGTTTAATTAGGTCCTACTTGTCTATTTTTGTTTCTGTTGAAATTGCTATTGAAGATGTAGTCATTAATTCATTTTCAAGACCAATTTCCAGAATATTTCCTAGGTTTTCTTCTAGAGTTTTTATTGTTTTAGGTCTTACATTTAAGCCTTCAACCCATGTTGAGTTGAAATTTGTGTATTGTGAAAAAGAAGGGGTCCAGTTTCAATATTCTGCATGGCTGACTAGCCAGTTACCCCAGCACTATTTGTTGAATAGGGAGGTCTTTCCCCATTGCTTGACATTGTTGACTGTCAAGCATCAGATAGTTGTGTTTGTGTGACTTTATTTCTGGGTTCTCGAACCTGTTCCATTGGTCTATGTGTCTGTTTTTGGACCAGTACCATGCTGTTTGGTTACCGTAGCCTTGCAGTATAGTTTGACATAGGGTAATGTGATGACTCTGGCTTTGTTCTTTTTGCTTAGAATTGCTCCCGCTATGCAGACTCTTTTTGGTTTTATATGTATTTTAGAATAGTTTTTTTTCTAATTCTATGAAAAAATGACATTGATAACTTGATAGTAATAGTATTGAATGTATAAATTGTTTTGGGCAGCATGGCCATTTTAATGTCTTCCAATCCATGAGCGTGGAATGCGTTTCCATTTGTTTGTGTTATCTCTGATTTCTTTCAGCAGTGTTTTGTAATTCTTACTGTAGAGATCCTTCACCTCCCTGGTTAGCTGTACTCCTAGGTATTCTATTCTTTTTGTGGCTATTTTAAATGGTATTGCATTCTTAATTTCATACATTCAATTTTAGTTCTTTAAAAATATAATGGTGTGTTAACAGGATCCTTCACTAACTGCCTGTTTTAATTCACTAATTTTACTTCTATAATCACTTTGTTTCTATACTTCACAAGTGATTATACTGTTATAGCTGTAATATTAGCAGTAACATTTAATTAACACTCACACTGTGAGCTAAAATTATACTCCACTAACGCCTAACTTCTTACCTTTGACTCTCTTGCTAAATGGTCACTAATGTAACAGTTAACCTCTTCTTCTTTACACTTCATAATATTCCTAAATTGAAAGAAAATTTACATCTGTAAAAATAAGTGTGGAATATTTTTGTGAGATTCATAGTATGAAGAAAATTAATCTACCAAGTATAAAATACGTGTTGAGTATCAGTGTATTATATCAGACAGGACAATGGAAGAAGAAAGATGTAAATAAGTTTCCGTATCCTCAGGAAACACACAAACTAAAAGACATGGTGAACACATTGAAACACTTTGGAAGGAAAAGCACAAAAATGTGATTTGTGAAACTATTGTGCATGTGATTTATTCTTGAAATTTTATAATTTTACATTTTACCTTTAGGTTGATGTCCATTTCCAGTTAATTTTTGAATAAAATATTAACTGTCTATTGAGGTTTACTTTCTGTTTTGCATTTATAGGACCATTTGTTTTGGTGTCATTTGTATAAAAGACTATCTTTTTATCTTTGAATTACTTTTGCAGCTTTGTCAAGTCAGTTTTCTCTGAACTCTTTTTTGTTTCATTGATATATGTCTATATGTTCCTCTCACCAACAACACAGTGTCTCATTACCGTAGTTTTGGGTACATCTTAGAATCAAGTAGTGTGAGTCTGCAACTTGGTTCTTATTTTTACAAATTGTTTGAGTTATTCTAACTCCTTTGCATTTCTATTTAAACGTTAGAATCAGCTTGCTGATGCATCAAAAAAAAATCTGCTGGGATTTTCACTAAGATGGTGTCTTATCTATAGATCAATTTTAGAAGAAAATTACATCTTAACAGTATTAATTCTTACATACCATGAACATAGTTTACCTCTCCATTAAAACAATTAATATCCCTTCTCTTGAACTTATTTTATCAATGTTTTGTAGCTTTTGAAAATATTTGATATTTTTGGTGGTATTGAAAGTGCTACTTTAAAAATTTTGAATCTCAACATGTCATAACTGATATATATAAATAAAATTGACTTTTGAATATTTACCTTTTATTTTGTGATCTTGTTAAATTTCTTTATTGGTTTTGGAAGTTTTATGTAGTCTCTGGAGCATCTATATAGACAATCATGTTTTCTCTGACTGAAGATAGATTTTTTTTTCCCTTCCAATCTGAATGCCTTTTTTTTTAAAAAAAAAAAAACAACCAATTGACTTTATTGCACTGACTAGGACTTCCATTATGATTTTCTATATGAGTGTTGAGAGAGGAAATCTTTGTCTAGTTTCTGATCTTAGATGAAAAATATATGGCCACATGTAAGTTTCTGTAAATTAAATTTGTCAAGTTAAATAATTTTCCTTTTCTTCTTAGTGATTTTCCTTTTATTCATCTGTTACTGTGGTGAATTATGGTGATTGGGCTTTAAATGTTAAACCAGTCTTGCATTCCTGGTATAAACCACACTTGATTATAGTATATTATCCTTTTTAAAGATACGATTTACTAATATATCTTACATATTTTGTTTACTATGTCTATGTTTATGAGGAATTGTGGTTTATAGTTTTTGTTACTTGTAATGTTTTTCTTGTTTCTGTTGTTTCCTGTTACTTATAATACTATTTTTATGAGGAATTTGAGTTTGTAGTTTTTGTTATTGGTAAGGTTTTTTTTCTTGTTACTTGTAACTTATTTTATTATAACTTTGTTAGTTGTAACATTTTTCTTTTCACTTGGTTTTGGTATTAGGGTATGGCTAGCTTCATAATATGCATTGAGTGGTGCTGATCTTGTTTCATTTTGTGAAGAGTTTGTACAGACTTAGTATTATTTCTTCCTGAAATATTTATTAGAATTTACTATTAAAATGATTTGGGCCTGAAGTTGTCTTTGTTGGAAGGCTTTTTAACTATGAATCCAATTTCTTTAATAGATAAATCTTTATTTATGTTAATCTATTAGATTAAAATATGCTTGGTTAGTTTGTGTCCTTCAAGGAATTGCATATCTTCTGAATTGTTGAATTCAGAGGCATAGTATTTTTTGTAATTTTTTATTTCAATTTTTATTATTTTTTTTTTACTGTCTATGAAGCTTTAATGTTGTTCCCAGTATTGAAAAATTCATATTTTCTTTATTTTCTTGGTCAGTCTGCTGAAAGGCTTGTCATTTTTATTGACATTTTCCAAAAACTAGGTTTTCATTTTATTGATTTTCTGATTTTGTGTGTGTGTGTGTGCATTGAATTTTATTGTTTCATACTCATATTATTTCATTACTTCTGCTTATTTGGGTTTTGTTTATTTTTAATGTTTGTTTCTTAATGCCAAAGCTTAGATTTCTACTTTAATTCCTTTTTATTTTCTAATATAAAATTCAATGCTATAAATTTTGATACTTATTTTCAAAATTTTTCTTGAGATTTTCTCTTTCACTAATTATTTATTTAGAACTATATTGTAAAACTTCCACATATTTATAAAATTTCTAAATACCTTTATGTTAATGCTTTCTAGTTTGAATTAGTTATGATTCAAGAACATGCTTAATATGAGTTATATTATTTTAAAGTGATTAAAGTGATCATTTTAAAGTGATTTAAGGTGATTTGTCATTTCACTCAGGTTATGGTATTTTAAAAAATATTTTATGTACACTGAAAAACAACGTATATTCTCTTTTTGTTGAGGAGAGTGTTCTAAAAGTGTTGATCAGGCCAATTTGATTGATGGTGTTCAAGTTTTCTCTATTATTATCTGTTTTTTTTCTATCCATTATTGGATAGTTGTAGTAAAGCCTTCAAATATAATTGCGAACTTGTCCTTCTATTCTGTTCTGTTTTGCCATGTATACCTTGAAGCACTCTTGTTCAGTGTATACATGTTTGAGATTTGTAAGTCTTCTAAGAACGTTGACCTAATTGTTATGATGAAATGGTCATATTTCCTTTAATATTCTCTGCTTTGATGGCCACTTTCTCTGATTTAAACATAGCTTATTCAGCTTGCTTTTGGCTAGTTCTAGTAAAATGTGTCCTCTTTTACTTCAGAACATTGGGAATTATAGTCTTAAATTATCATGTTCAATATTAATTCTCTTTGGTTATTTTTAGTTTTTTTAGAGTCTAAATATATGTGTGTAGAATTTTTTTTTTTTTTTGCCTATCTTCTCTACTTATGTTCTCTTTGATTCGTTTTCTCATTTTGCATATTTTACTTTATTGGCATTAAATTTCACAAATGTTTTAGCTTTTTCTCTTTTCTTTAAATAACTTTGTTGAGGGATGGGAGAACTTACCATAGCTATGTTTTCAAACATTTTACCATTATGGTATATAGGAGTTAAGTCTTTATCTTCTATAGTGAGAAATAAGTATAATCTCCAATGTAAAAAAATCAGCAAATCAGAATGAAATTTATAAATATGGTAAATAAAACAAACAGCTGAAGAGTTTAAAGTGGATGACACTGAGGAAGGAATCGGGGCAAAGAGAGGTAGGATAGGTAACTGCTGTTCTTCATTAGAAACAGTATAGAACTGTTTGACTTTTAAAACCATGAAATGTGACTACTTTGAAAAGCAAAATAAAAGTGAAAGTTTGGCTGTATTAGTAATTCCACTTCTGGGTATGTACCCAAAAGAACTGAAAGCAGGGACTCAAACAGATACAGTAATGTTCACAGTAGCCTCATGAATACTAGCCAAAAGTGGTAACAGCCCAAGTGTTCTGTTCTTCATTTTGGAGAGGTATTCCTGACATGGCCCAGACCATTCTAAAAATTTTAGGGCCTTGAAAGTTTACAGGTTTTATAACTCTGTTCTGGAATATATGTGTCTTATGAAGGCCTCCAATATATTTGCCATGTCTTGCTCATCTGGTTTAATTAAGTTAATGTCATCAAAATAGTGGACCAATTTTATCTTCTGTGATATGTCCAGATGGTCCAGGTGCCTTCTGATTTTACTGAGGCAGAAGGCGGAAGAATTAGCATAGCCTTGGAGCACAATGTTAAATGTGTTCTTATGTTTGTCCCACATAAATGAGAACTGGTTTTGATCTTTTCTCTTAAAAGGGATACAAATAGAAATGCTTTCACCTGATCATGGATGTATGCCTGAGACTGAGTTAAGCTGCTCTCACAAAGACACCATAATTGGCAGAGCAGCTACAATTAAGGTTACTACTTGGTCGGGTTTGTGATATTCCTCTGTCATCTGCCAGGATCCATCTTCTTTGTTAGAAGCTAGATTTTGAAATAAATGGGGATATAATGAGGACCAAACCCCTGAATCCCGTAGATAATTTAGAACAGAGCTAATCTCTTCTATTTTCTCTGGAAGTTGATACTGCTTTTGTGCTATCTTTCCCAGGAGAGGAACAGTTTCGGAAGTTTCTTCTTGGCCCAACACACTATGACAGGTCATATAGGCTAGTGAAGTATTTTGGGGATTTCTTTCAACTACCAATTATTTCCACTGAGTTATACAGGTGAAGACCAGCAAAATGACCTGTATATACATTCAGAGATACAGAACACTCACTGAGAGCCAGGCATGGTCAGGACTTGATTTATTACCTGTGTCCCAACTACCCCCATTCAAATGGTAGGGGTGAGAGGTAGGTCATCATGATGCCTCAAATCCCCAGTATTATTGCCAACTTAAATCCTGCAAACATTAATTTTGACCCCTATTGTGGTTATCTGCATAAATGGTCATAGATCCTTTTGCAGAAGGTCTAGAAGAGTTATTTCTCCATAACCTTGTTGTGGTATTTTCAGGTCCTTTCTCAATGGGACTCTGCCTCTCCTTCAGATAGAAGTTTCTGATTTACAAAACTGTATCAGGTCAAGAAATGGGAAAAGATATTGTGGATTCCTATTAGAGTGGCTGCTCTCAGTGTTGATCATCTGATACCCTTGTTGACTGCCCAACTTATGTTGCTCTAAGAATACCACACTCTATTAATTATCTCCAAAGCTTTCCACAAATCAGCTTGCCCTCCCAATATCACTATGCCATCCATTACAGACTGCCTTGCCTGTAATGATTAAACACCACAATATGGTCTCTATTTATTCTAGAGCCTATCACCCCCACTGCTATCAGGGAGCCCGTTCTGCAACAGCATCTCCCACAAGCAACCCTATTCTAGAGCAGAGAGTTGTCTCAACAATGCCAGTACCCTGATCACCAGTGTACTTCTTATCACTTTGGTAAATGAAGTGTCCTTTAGGTCCTTCAAGAGACTAGAGACCAATGATGAGTTTTCCAGCCTTAATAATGTATCCACTCCAGGCTGAATACTTCTCTGAGCCTTTTATTCTCTTCTTCCCTATCTGACTTAACAATACAGCATTTCTACTTTACTTTATTTGGACCACACCCTTTGTCAAGCTTCCAAGAGCCATCCTTAGTAGCATGCTAGCACCATTTTCCAATCTCCCTTGAAACTAAAGTTATTAATTCTTGTATCAGGAGGCACTGCTCATTTGAACAATCTCTCTTTCCTATCCAACTTTATGCTTCACATCCGTCAATATGGAACTTTCATAATCCAGCCCCATTCTTTCTTCCTGGCTCTTGTCATATATGTTTCCTAGGACATTTAGCAAATTTGGCATGTATTTCACTTCCTTCCTTGGATGACCAATACTTCTCCTCCAGGTTATGTTGTAATTGGACCCCAGTTATTGGTTTTGTCCCTAAGAGAGGAAGTAAGGATAGGAGGGGTCTATACCACAAGGAAAGAGAACAGAAAGCTAAGGAAGCATCGGCATTGTCTTCAAGCCAGGGAAGGCACTGGCCTTTAGCAGAGAGTACTGAGACATTTCTACTGGTCCAGAGATCTGAGATATCTGGGATTACGAGATTCTTGAGTCCATCTATCTAGGTACCTCCATTCCAAGACTCAGCCTATGAGGGGCCAGGCCTTGGGATAGAAGACTTGATACACTTGAAAATTCAAGTGTCCTTGGGTTTCCTTTACTCTTAGATATTTAATTTCTGAGCCTAGTTCTCAGATTTTCTGTTCTCCCTTTCCAAGAGATAGAAAAACTTTTCACATGCAGCTAATGAGAACCTCTTATTTTCAAATGTCTCTTTAAATCTGCCAGCAGTTGCCCTCAGCTTTTTATTTTCTGTCACTAGCACACTGATAATACCCAATGAATGTCACTAATAATCTCATAATCCTCATAATTTCTATTTTTCCCAAACTTCCTAAAAGTGTGATATATTGCAGGCACCATTGCATTCCTTTCTATAGGTATTCTATCCTAGTTCTACACAGAGGAAAGCTTTAACAATTGTGGCACTGTAGCATACTTAGGGGCTAGTAATTTTCTACCTTGTTAGCAATGAGGAGATCATTGCTAACTGCTGATGATCCAGCTCCAATTCCTTTCAAAGGTGTGTATCTTAAGACAACTTCTGCTATCAACTCTCTTTGGTGTGGTTTGTGGGAGAACAGTCTCTGTGAAAGAGTTCTGCATGTAAAAGGTATATTTATGAGTGCTTTTGAGGAAAATACCTGTAAAGGAGTATGGAAATCAGGATTATGTAGGGGGAGAATCTGAACTGAGATGGAGATGCAACCACAGCCTTGGCCTGCTCAGGAGCTCAGGAGTTGAGAGAGTGCTTCAGAGTTGTCCAGGATTAAAGCAAGGTGGCAGGTCTTTGTCCCTCTGCATTGAACAATTATCAGATTTTGGCTGCCCTATAGGGCATGGGACATAACTGTCAGTGAGGCAACTCCTTTTAGCCAAAGAAAAGTCCCAAGGACTTAGTTGCAAGCTATCTATAGCCAATGCTCCTACCAGCTGGGGAAATGTGTAAGTGTCTCTGGGACCCGAAAGGAGCACAAGCAGTGTACCATTGCAGCCACCACATATATTTTCACCCCATTGTGGTGACTGATTTTACAGCACCAAAACCTACTCTACACTTTTGCTTACCTTAGTTCCAAATCCTACTTTACATTGTTATACTGAATCCTCTGGTGCAAAGACCCTTACCTACTGACCTCCAGCACCTGTTCTCCTCCTCAAAACACTTCCATTTTATTTTTGCTGAACACCTCATTACCTGGAATAAAGACTATATTTCTAGTTTGCCTTTCTATAGATGTTGTCATCTGATCAAATTCATGAAAATTAGATATAGGAAGTGCTACCAGGCAGATTTCAGAAAATGTTCTTTTCTTTTATCTTGCTGGATATAACTGGAACTTTGTAATGGATCATGCACTGAAGGCTATACCCTAGTAATGGAGTATAGAAAGCTAGAAGCTCTTTTGGCCCCGGAAAATTTACAGCTATCACTTCATTTCAGGATTGCATTTATCTATATACTTATGAGTGAAAGAAATACACAATGAGACTATTTAAGTACCTACATTTCAGGTCTCTGTTACTCTCAACCCATATTATTTATAACTACCTTATTCATGTATGGTCATATTCAGGAGTTATTTAGGTAACAGGCAGTATGCCTCTGCAGAATATTGTATCCTATGGAATGCCTAAGGAGAGACAGAAGGATGCAAACCCCTGCAAAATCCTAGGAGCAAACTAATTACAAAGATTGAAATTTCAAAGGGGGAACAGATGTTCATGCTCCAGAAATGTGGAAAGTGCTATGTCTCTGGTACAGAAAGGGCATAGAGTCACCACATGAAAGCAATGTGCAGAACTGGGCTTTGCCCAGAAAGATATTCTGTCTGAGTAGTTTATACAGTCTCTTTCATCTGGAAACAGACCCTGCCTTTCTCATTTGACAGTGTAATTCATTTTAGATACTCCAAATAATCTAACTTTGTTTTGAGGGATTTTAAAAAAAAACAGAAAATGGTCTTTCTGTATATCACCATTCTGCTAAGGGAAGCTTGGCAATGGCAATTAGAAGTGGTAATTCTGAAATTTAAAACAACAACCAGCAACTAAATAAGCAGAAGCACAGGAGTTTAGAGCAATATGGAGAGCAGCTGAGATGTGGATGAACTTAGGAAAAGATTCTCCTCTTTAGCAGTGACTCTACATCCATGCTACCCATCATTAAGGGTGGAGGGAGGGTACTTAAAAAGGTCAATGCCTAGGCCCTATGGCAGATCTATTAGAGTTGTTAGGGGTACAGACAGCCCTGATTGTTTTCTTTTGTGTGTGTGTTTTGTTTTTAACCTCCAAGTCAATTCTAATACACAGCTAGGGTTGAAAACTGCTGCATTAACACTTAAAGTGAGTCTTGGAGATATCAAATGAACAGTCATTTGAGTTTTGTGACCTAAGCACACCTTTTGTATTAGTCCATTTTCATACTGCTTTGAAGAAATACCTGAGCCTGTATAATTTATAAAGGAAAAGAGGTTTAATGGAATCACAGTTCCACATGGCTGGGGAGGCCTCACAATCACAGAAGAAGGCAAAGGAGGAACAAAGCCATGTCTTACATGATGGCAGGCAAGAGAGCATGTGCAGGGAAATTGCCCTTTATAAAACCATCAGATCTCATGAGACTTATTCAGTATCATGAGAACAGCATGGAAAGAATACACCCTCATTATTCAGTTACCTACCACCAGGTCCTTTCCACGACACATGGGGATTATGGGAGCTACAATTCAAGATGCAATTTGGGTTAGGACACAGCCAAACCATATCACCTTTTGAGAATGTATACCTTAAAAAACCTCAGCTACTTTATTTCCATATTTAATATAAATTATGTAGTCATTTTTATTATGTATAAATTTATTCACCTAAAGAATAAAAATTCAAAATAGTAAATATTAAAGCAATTTAGACCATAGAAGAAGTTAAATTTCTTTAAATAATCATTTGAAATTCTCTATAAATTTTATTTCAAGCCTTAACCTGGAGACACCAGAGTAAGCCTCAACAGTTTTTGAGATAGAATATCTCATTTCAAAAACAAACAGAACACTCATTCAGGTTGGGCTAGGTTTTATTTTCACTCTCAATGTCATTTTTGCTTTGGATGGTTTCATTGTCAGTGTCTGGGGTTGAGGACAAAGTCTCTCATTGTTTGTTTTTCTTCCATCAGTTCACATTTAAGACAATTACTGCACAGCTGGGCAAATATGCTGGCATGCAAGTGCCTTTCCGTTTTGAAGCTCTCATTGTGAAGAAGAAGCCTGGAGAGTCAACAGAAAAATTAATTACAATTGAGCAGAGCAAACTCCATCATATTCAAACAATATTTACCTACCAAACAAAAATAAGATATTGATGGTTAATTATTTATTATTGTCAGGTTTATTTTGAACATTTTTCTTGTATAAAAGGACTCTGGCCCTGTAGGTCCATAATTCTAAGAGAAATATCCTCAGTGTGGGGCTGAACTTCAAACTAAGGAGAACTGAATCTTAATAAAATCATAGCAGTCATGTTCTGTTTGTGTGTGTGTGTGTGTGTGTGTGTGTGTGTTTGCATAAACATACTGATTTGTTCTGCACTTCTGCGAAGTTCTATAGAAGACTGTTCCAGGTAAATAATTTGGTAATTCCTTTTACAATACATGGAAAGAACTAGTATTCACAGAATCAGGAAAGAGGCTCCTCATGGAATATGACTCAGTTCCCTTTACATGTGATCTGAAGCCTGGGACTGATTATTCCCGCTATGTGGGGAATTGCATTCTATAGTGAAAATCAGTGATACATAGGTTTGAATAAAGCATGATGATTATAGGTTGACTTCCTAATTGAAGGTAAAGAATTCTTAATGATGGCTTCCAAGGCACTGACTGACTAGGAGGGGTGACCATAATCCCATTCCCATCTGCAGTGTGAAAGTGAGTGCTAAGTAGGTAAGTGAATGGGACAAAGGTAGTAAGGAGAAAGATGAGAGCAAAGGGACTCATTCACCGAGCATCGTTCTTATGATAAAGTTGGAGTTTTTTTGGCATAGTACAAAAGAAGGTTGTTTCTCCAGAAAGGAACACAAACCTGCTGACGCTTTGATTCCAACCCAAAAGATTCATATCAGACTGACTTCAGACTTACAGAATTATGAAATAATACCTTTGTATTGTTTTAAGCCACTAGTTTTGTGTCCATTTGTTACAGCAGCAATAGAAAACTAATACAATTCTTAAATAATCAGCATGTTGAATTCAATATTATAAATATTAAACATTATAAATTCAACATTATGGCTCATAATGTATTCATTAGTATATTTAAAGGAATCAAAATAAGATGTGTATCTACTTATATATTTAGAAGTGCCATAGGCAATTTATATATTAAATAAAGATTAAAGTCACTTATTAAAATATCCCCAAAATGGAAAGAATGCTGATATGCTGGAAGTTTGATGGGTGTGGAAGAGACTGGCATAACATACGATCAGAAAAATAAGGGAGGGACATACATACTATGTAGGATTTATAAACCATGCTGAAGAATTCAGATTTTCTTCTCAATGTGAAGGGGAAAAGTCCGTCAACAATAGAAAATTATAAAAAAAATTGATGAAACGCTCTATAAAATGATATGAGTAGAGCTCCATATGAAACTGCTGAGTAGGTGAAAGCCATCACAATAGAGTATATATAGTATGCTAATTTTGTATGGAAGAACCCAAGGGAAATAAGAATATATACTTGTATTTACTTTACTTGCATTCTCGATAAAGAAACACCGCAAAGATATACAGGGGAAGAAAGTAATTTTCCATAGTGGGAGGAGAAATGTGATAAATGAGATATGAGTGGGACCAGATTTTTCAAAGTTTATTTTACATTGTTTTGATTATGGAAACTTGGAAAAGTACTATTCTTTGTTTTAAATAAAGAAATTTATTTAAACAAATTAACAGAGTATTTAAAATAAAAGCAGAAAATTTTCCCTACTAGATATAAAATATTTTAATATGCAAAGATAACATGTTCCTAGATGTAAATGCATCCTTTATGTCAGTTTTATGACTGGCTTATTCAATGTGATCCTTACATTCTAGATTTAGATTACAAAGTAGTACTTGTTACTGCCCTAGCTAATCAAATAAACACATTTTGTATTTGGCAATTACTCTAGTAAGTAATTCTCAATGTTCAAGATAAATATGTTACAATTGCCTATAATTGATATGATTAGGTCATGGCAATACAGCACTTCATTTACATCCAAAGTCTTTATAGCTGGTCTACAGTGTACTAGTAAAATTATCAAGCAAGTCTATGTTCCAAAGGTATTTATAGACAATTGATTAGTGTTCTCTCAGTGTTTTGGAGAAAATCAAAGTAGATATATGTGTTAATTTTTTGGAAAGTTAATAATATTGTGTCTAAGCTACTGGAAGTGGGGTACAAAATTGCAAGCTATGCAATTAACATAAATGTGTTTCTTATTCAGTTTCACAAGTAAAATAATATTATTTGGTGAAATAAAGCAATTTCACAATTTTTCTCTTGATGAATATTTATTCCATATCAGCATTATTATTTGAGTATAGAGTGAATTTTCAAAAGAAAACAAATACCTTTTCCAAGAAGTAAAATTGTTCTTTTAAAAATGTTTTTACATAAGATTTTATTTTACTTTTTTGTCTTTGTATATTTTCCATAAATAACGTTTTGTCACTTTTTTATTTTGTGGAATATACAAGAATAATTTTTAACTACTTTCATTTTGATGTCTTTTCCGGTTCTGCTCTAAACTATGTATAAGCTTTTGTTTGAACACTATAATCAACACTTGAAATTAGATATATTTAATAGTTTTATTAGAGACAAAGTTAAGATTTTAGTGGTGTCTGAAAAAACCAGCTGTGGTCAAACATACTTGCCATAGAGGTAATCCGAGTAATCAATGAAAGGATTGTTAATATTTATATATGATGTTTAAAATTCATTCAACTATTTTCTGATTTATCCACCATTTAGTCTTTTGACACCTCCATTGCACCCTCCCAGAACACTTTAACTTTGTTCATTTTTCAAGCTTAAGTATTTTTGAATGTCTAAACTTTTATAGATCATAGGCCTAACACTAGACAAAAGAGAGAAGACATTTTCTCTGTTGCTTTTGTAACACTCAAAAAAATTCTCTCTTAAAATTGTATAGAATTAGTCAATGAGAAATATGATACTTTTGTATTATGGAAATTTAGAAATATAAACCAATATAAACAGAAATCGAAAAATTAGCAGAAAAAATATATTAAAATATATTAATCCCCAGGTATCCTCAGCTGTCTTTACAAATTGTCAATATTTTATTTTACCATTCTTGTTTAATCAGCACTCTCACTCTTATCCTTAACTCATTTTTGAGCTTTATAAAGTAAATTACAGACCAACTGGTGAAATTTTGTTTGGACTGTTACCAAAATCAATGACAGAGAAAGCAGCCACAAATATTCTGGTAGCCAGTAATTTTTTTTTTTTTTTTTGGTTATTTAGAATTACATAATTTTATTGTGAAATCTTTTTTAGCAATTACTTCAGTATTATTCGTGGTATATAAAAATAAGTATGCATAAATGCACAAACACATACATTCAGTCTATATGTGTTAGCAATACAATACAATAATTAGCAGTACCATAATTGCTAATAGGTTAGCAATACAATAATTTGTACCATAGAGTGTTCACAGTGTTATACAAGGTTGTCTTTAGGGGTCTTAAAATGTTATAACTACATTTGAACAAAAATGTACATTGACTTCAAAATTCTTCCTTTTTGTTTATAAATCTAAATAAATATCCTGTTATGAGCCTATGGAGAAAAACCTTAGGATATTTACTCAACTAAAGATTGGTCAGAAAAAGTACTCCAGGATCTTTGGGGGAAAAAAATGTAATAGAAAAATCCTGAAAGAAAAGTAAGCAGAGTTCACCCTTGGTGTTGAGGGTTGACAGGTTAACCACCTCTGACTGGGCAGCAAGGACTTTGTGGAGATAATTAAAGCAACTCAGCAAAGTTTCTTGGTGAATGGCATGACCACTGTGCATATCTTTTAGAATGTGGCTCAAAGCTCTACCAGCTACTCTCACCTGCTATTCTCACAGCTTTCCAACAGTTATGGTACAATAGGCATTAGCTCTTTAATATAAATTTATACCAAATCACAACTTCTATTCAGCAAGGAGAGTTGCCCTACTAAAACAAAAGAAAGGGAACATAAAATTTCTAACCAATTATATTAATCAAATGCCACTATTTGTGCCACATATTTGTATATTTATTTGCTTTCCAAAACAATGAAGGTCTAGGAGAGCAAAACAACTATTGAAAACAGCCTATGGCTTTCTTAGTTGATTGATGTCAGTCTTTGATAATATACAGTTGAACAATATGCTGCTGTTTGCCGATGTATCTGCTATCATGATAAAGATAAAAATTTATTTCAAAATTGATAAATTCATTGTGGAGTTTCCATTGGCTATATCTCAAGCAAGAAGTACTTAAGTAGTTTTATTATTAGTTAGTACAGGCATTCATACAATAAAAGAAAAAGCTGCTGAGACAATCAAGCAAATACATGAAGATCAGAGACTCTAAAAGAGCTGATTGACCAGGCATGGTGACTCACACCTGTAATCTCAGCATTTGGGGAGGCCGAGGTAGGGGGATCACTTGAGCCCAGGAGTTTGAGACCAGTCTGGGCAACATGGTGAAACCTCATCTCTACAAAAAAATACAAAAATTAGCCAGGTGTTGAGGTGTGTGCCTGTAGTCTTAGCTACTGGGGAAGCTGAGGCAGGAGGATCATCTGAGCCCAGGAGGTCGAGGCTGCAGTGAACTGTGATGGTGCTACTGCCCTCCAGCCTGGGTGATAGAGTAAGACCCTGTCTCAAAGACAAACGAACAACCACCAACAACAAAAACAGAAACTGATTGAGCAAAGAAATGTCACCTATATATGTTTTTAAATCTTAGGACAAATATCTGTAGTTAATGTAATTACTTTCTATTAAAACATAAGCACTCATGCATATATATACAGTAAATGCTTGGCATGCATGAAGGTTATATTTCTGATTACAGTCTCAAATCTATGAAGACCATTGTTAAAAATTATATTATTTTCAGTATGACATAAAGTTTAACTGAACATTTTAAGTGATTCTTTTAGATAATTAAATGTTACATAGATGTAGAACTAAAATTATAAATATCATGCAAGCATTCTTTCTTCTTTTCAAATTTCGTTTGTTTTTTTAATTAACTAAAAAAATAGTGATTTTTGAAGTAAAAGGCAGTCTTACAAATTTCAGTCTTTTTCTCACTCTCTCTCTCTTTTGTTGGTATATAAAATGTATGAAAAATTTGTCATTTCCATATCAGAGCAATGGTAAATTCAATATTCTTTTTTATATTCCTAAAACTTCTCTCATCTAAATAAAAACTCTTTTTATTTCTTTAAGATTTCTTCACTTTTAAATACAGGAAAAGTGGTGTTTTCTTTTGGGGGGTCCATATTCCCACAAAATCATAAGATTTTACCACTACACGTTACTATACACAGAACAAGTGAAATAAAAGAGCCAGGCTGAGCTGCATATGCTAGAAAAGTCAGCTAGGATTACTCACCACAAACTTATTCTCATAAATAAGCCCATAATGGGGGAGACTAAGTTTTTTCCAGGACGATTACAAACTATCACGGGTCACGGAGGTTCAGCCTGCATCTTGGGGAGCCAAATGTTTCATTAAGCCCGATCAAAGGATCTACTATATCTATAATAATGAGGAACAGAGCTACCAGGGGTAGTTGAAAGGCAATTGCTATCTCAGCAGTTCACTTTTACAATGGGTAGTAACTGTATTCCCAGGGAGAGAGAAGAAATATAAGATTCCATATGATATACCAACTTTCTAACCATCCTGACTCTTCTCGGTTTTTGTGTTTGCTTTCTAGTATTAAATCGCTTTTGTATAATGGTAGTTTTCACACAGCTTTTCAGAATTAGGCTTCCAACACAAATATAAAAGTTAAAAAAAAAATAAATGTATTTAATTGCTGGTGAAAATCCCAAGTTATTATTCAGGAGGAGCAGGAAAAACAAGCCTTGATTTAAATTGTTTTTTTGTTTTCTTCAATATAGAAATATATTTTCTTCTGTCTCCTGACCCATTTCTAAGTATAGCATTTTAAAATTTCCTGTCTCAATATTATCCTAATCAGCCCACTGAAAACTAATTCTAATAGGCTTCACAGAGTGCCTCTGATTATCAAGGTGAAACAAGGATCAGATTCTTTATCTTTAATTAATAGTTAAATTGCCACCTTCTGAAGAGGAGGGCTGGAGGAATTACTGCAATCTGGTCTGCCAATCAAAATTTAAGAAAATGGGGAAGGTTGATGCTCAGCAGTTGAATTTTGCAAACAAAGCAAAGCTTAGATGCATTAGTTTCCTCTCTCATTAAATGAACAAACAAACAAAAGGATTGGATTAAATAAAAGAGTTAGGATTACTGGGTATAAATTAGAGAAGGAAAACTAAGAAATGAAGATGCACATTTAGTCTAGAACACTAATATCTAATTATTGGTTCATTGTAACAATTTAGACGAATGAATTTTGAGGATTTCTCCAATTGGAATTCACTGTAGAATTTTCCAGAAGTTTATCCATTCTTTTCCAGTTATTTCTAAACATTTTGGGTGAAGTTAATATTGCTTCTAAAGCAGAGTTCAAATCTCTAAATGTAGTTATTCCATTAACTGAGACGTGTTTATGCAACAAAATATATGTATAGGCTATACATAAAAAAGAGTTCAGAGGTAGCTTAAGAGTCATTTCTTCTACTTCATGAAATATTTCTTCAGCTCCTGATGAGAAAAGGCCACCCTGTGTTAATTGCTAGCAGAGCTTTTCCTTCTTCACTCTTTTCCTCCTTGGTCTTTCTTTTCAGCACAGCCTTCCCCATACTCCTTTCTTGCTGCCTTTCACCTCTCCAAACAGTTTTCTGATTGCAACCACACTCGATTTAAGAAAAACTGAAAAAAAACACTAAAACCTTCAGGTCTAATTCTGCACAGAAGATACAACTTAACAAGGAGACAGATGAAAGGAAACCAGAAAAAGCTGGGAAATAAAGCAAGGCACAACACAGGAGCAGGTCGGGACTTAGACACAGAAAAAAATGCAGTTCACATGAACTTGGGAAAAAACCTTCTACTTTCAAAAATAAATTTTCCTTTGAAAAAATTCTATATAAAACTTTTTTTGTTTCTTTTATCTCATAGCTCTTCAGTGAATCTGAAATATTCCCTCGAGAGAGATGGAAAAAAAATTCATGTTTTATTCCACATTAGGAGTTAAACTGAAAAATATAATTCTTCCTACTCTTCAAACTGTAGTGTAGCTGAAAATTATTTTCTTACTAAATCTCACTAGGTGATGAGGAGCACATTTATTGTTTAATTGCACATGTTTTCATGTTTGTAAGCAATACTAGCAAAATTGTATGTATAGGATGTTGATTTAGGTGAAGTTTTAGACCACTGAAACAAACTGTTTAAATAAAATTTTTATACTTTCACAAAAGCAAAGCATTTGGAACCTGGCATAAAGATACTGAAGTCAGTTCCTCTAATTAAAATACTTTTACTAACCTGTATGCAAGGTCATTCCTGATTTGGCCATTCATCATCTTATCATTTGCTACCTTACTCCTTTCCAATACAACTCACTCTTTTCTTTTTATTAGATTGACCTATTTGCCTTAGTGTAACTATGAGTGTACCCTTTCGATTATCAACTTGTTCCTTTGTTATTTGTTCCTTGAGTGACTTTGTCAGCATACTTGCATTTTGTATACATTGTCTTGCCAGTGGGTTAAGAGCTGGCTGAAAAGAAATGACTAAGACATGATTTCTACCTAAGTAAATGATTGTTTAATGACAGTGCTAAACATGAAGTCGGGCACGGTGGCTCACGCCTGTAATCTCAGCACTTTGAGAGGCCCAGGCAGGCGGATCACCTGAGTTCAGGAGTTTGAGACCCGCCTGGCCAACCATGACCTACATGGTGAAACCTTGTCTCTACTAAAAATACAAAAATTGGCCAGGCATGGTGGCTCATGCCTGTAATCCCAGCACTTTGGGAGGCCGAGGTGGGCGGATCACGAGGTCAGGAGATCAAGACCATCCTGGCTAACATGGTGAAACCCCGTCTCTACTAAAAACACAAAAAATTTGCAAGGCGTGGTGGCGGGTGCCTGTAGTCCCAGCTACTTGGGAGGCTGACGCAGGAGAATGGCATGAACCCGGGAGGAGGAGTTTGCAGTGAGCTGAGATCATCATCACTCCAGCCTGGGCAACAGAGTGAGACTATGTCTCAAAAAAAAAAAAAAAATACAAAAATCAGCTGGGCGTGGTGGCACATACCTGTTATCACAGTTATTAGGAAGGCTGAGGTAGGAGAATCACTTGAACCTAGGAGGCGGAGGTTGCAGTGAGCTGAGATCAAGCCACTGCACTCCAGCCTGGGCAACAGAGTAACACTCCATCTCAAAAAAAAAAAAAAGAACAAAATTTACTATACAATAAAAAAGTAAGTAAAATACTATCAGATTGCAATAAGAGTGAAATTAACTTTTTCTGGAGTACAGGTGGCTAGGAATAAAGCAAGACTCAGAGCAGGTTATATTTAAATGGCTCCTGAAGATGAGGAAAGGCATGCTAGATGGAGCCTTTAACAAGACTGAGGCATGAACTGGGTATGAGTAGAAGAAATTAGAACACGGCATCACAGACTTCATCATTTTGCTGGATGTTCCTTAATGTTATTCTGGAAAATCTATGGGCTCATGGATAGTGTCCTGCAAATGTTGGAAGCCTGTGACATGGCTCAGATATCCACATAGTCTGAAAGTGATTGTTAAACTGTAATTGTCCAATAGCTTAAAAGTCATGACTCTAAGGCAAATAATATAAACACATGTCAAAATTTTATTTAACTTATTAATTAATAAGGGTTTCATTAACATTATATATTAATGATAGTATTATTGATTCAAAGAGCATCTGAGAAGCTAGGCTATGTATAGGAGGACAGGGTCATTGAGCAGTTTAGTAAATTAATTAATGTCCACCATAGCCATGAAATACCATCTCTAGGGTTATGTGTTTCACAGGACAAATTATTTGTATCTGTATGAGACAAAAGTTTACTAGCTAACCTGTAACTTTTCTACATCTGCGAGTTTAATCAGAGGTAATAGAGAATAAAACTAAGCTTATTAGGTTGATTTAGGTTATTTCCCAAAATGATTTTCAGTAGTCTTTGCCCTTATATAACACTGAAAACATGTATCATCCATTTTTTTACCTTACTTCCCAGTTTTAGATAATTTTTCAGACACTGTACATAGGATTCTGATTTACAGCCAGTATTGGAAATACCTGAACTAAGAGTTTCTATGACTACCAAGCACCAATACAATTCAAATTTCTCATTTTGTTATGGGATGTGGGTGATATTAGGTGCAGCTTGCTGAGGATGGTTGATGCTGGGATTGCAGTTATGGAGTCATTAAAGTCATGGGCTTCAAGACTGGCAGAAGTGAGAAAATGCCTGTGTGGCAAGTACACAAATAGCTAATCCCACTTCTGTCAATTTGCTTTATATAGGATGACAATATATTTTTCTTTTGTTGTTGTTTCCCAGTGCATACAAAAGTTATGTTTACATTATACTGTAGTCTATTAAGTGTGCAATAGCATTGTGTCTTAAGAAAACAATGTGCATACCTTATTTTGTTGCTAAAAAATGCTAATGATCATCTGAGCAGAAAAATCTTATGATTTTTAAATTGATTCGAATAACAAATTATATTGAAATCAGGTTTAAAAGATCGCCTTTTCTGAGATGATGAAATTACTTAAAAATTCCTTTCATTTACTAATTTGAAAGGATATTGCTATAAATTACACACACACACACATACACACAAATATGTATCCACCATGGGATATAAGTATATATAATTTATAAATGAGGAATTCAACAACATAATTACAGGAGCAAAAACTGATGAAAAGGTCATGTACTTAGCAGTGTGAACCATGGGCATTTGAAATTTCCCCTGGCAAATTATCAGACAACTTATTTTAAAGCCCCCAAGGTGACCTTGGATCCTTTGCATCTCTTTCCAAAAGTAACATTGCCAATTTGTAGGAAGCAATATCTTTCTGAGACATTAAAGAAGAAAAAATGAGACTTAACAAACTACACATCTCCAAATCAGAGCTGCTTCTTATGGCAAAGTTCTGGTTGAAGGGTAATATAAATTCAAATGTGAACTAATAATCAGAATCTCGAAAATAACTTGGCAGGCACCCAGAATGAACTTTAAAATATATGTAGTTAGGAAGCTGGAAAACTGATGGCTATATCTTTTCAACTAATGTAAAGTGCAGATTTGTGAAAATCATAGCAATGATTTATACCAGAGAAATGTAATGATCTATTAAAGAAATCGAAAATAACTTTAGTGTAATTATAGATTACATGAATGAAGAACAAAGCTGGATATACACTGATTCCTTAAGCATTTATAACATGGTGCGGCTGGGCACAGTGGCTCACACCTGTAATCCCAGCACTTTGGGAGGCCAAGGTAGGTGGATCACCTGAGGTCAGGAGTTTGAGACCAGCCTGACCAACATGGAGACACTCCATCTCTACTAAAAAAAAAAAAAAAATTAGCTGGGCGTGGTGGCGCATCCCTATAATCCCAGCTACTCAGAAGGCTGAGGCAGGAGAATCGCTTGAACCTAAGAGGCAGAGGTTGCAGTGAGCCAAGATAGCACCATTGCACTCCAGCCTGGGGAACAAGAGTGAAACTCAGTCTAAAAAAAAAGTTACCAAAATGCTTTTCTTTCTTTACATTCTCTGCCGTCTAATTGTTGCAGCCTTCCAATAAGAACAACAGAAGCAGTATTTCATTAAACTTGAAAAATGGGGTTGTATCCAACCTATTTGTGATGAAATGGTATCATAGAATGCTCAGTGAAACAGGTTACTCTTCTTGATAGTCGAGATGCGCTGTCTAACCTACTTCCCACTCAGGAACACACAGCTGAATCCTTTGACTATACAAGAGGGAACATAGAGGCAGTTGAAGAAGGAACTTTGATTTGCCCTGATGTTCATTTAGCCACATGTGGGCACTGAACCTGGGAAGGTGACGTGACATGGAGGAGGAGTACTGGCAGGGGATGGAGGGAGAAGAGTCTGTCCTGTGCAGGACCTTACAAACTGATGAAGTCAAACTGGATGTTGCCCAAGAAAACTTCAAAGGCCAGATAGGCAAATATCACTTGTTTTTTTGTACCAAATGGAAGAAGACAAGTCCCCTTCTTCAATGGCACCGAATACCAGGAGTAGAAAATATGTTTACGTAAATAGTGGTTGAGAGCAGGAAGAAAAAGAAACAAGAAATGACAAGCTTCACAACTTCCCCTTTCTTGAGACTGGCCACGACTCAAAAATGCAGAGGCCCTCCTAAGAGGTGGAGTTGAAACAAAAAGGAAAATAGTCATTAGGAAAGAAAATTCTGAGACTGAGATTACAAATTAGACAGTATCGATGATTTTTACTAAAAGAATTAGAGCGTACAATTGCTAGGCTGAATTTACTGACATAAGAAAATAATCCATTTGTAGCAGAAGGAAGATGGCAAATATGCAGTTCCCACTTGACTCCTCCTCCAAACACACATCTCCACTGGAGAACTCAAAAATCCAGATTACGAGAGAAGGATTTAACCTTAAACCCTATCGAGAGCTGAAATGAATTTAGTGTGAAATATAAAGGTAGAAGCAGCAGTGGGAAGAGCCTTCTAGGCACTTGCATTCGCCAGCTGGAGCTCAGGGAAGCCATCCCTGACTATATCATACAGAGGGACTCTTGGAGAAGGCCACTGTCAGAATTTGGGAGGGGTCACAAGGTGAAAGGAGCTTCCAAATGAACTTTGTAATGATTTTCACTGGGTGTAAACTTTCGGGCAGAATAGAGAGACGAACAGGAACTGCTGCAGAAAGGAGAGCAGGAGCCCCAGAAAGTGTGGGAAGACAGGAAGGGGCATGGCCTGGAAGCCATGCTTGCTTGTTTCTTAAGGAAACGTATAGCCTGGGGCTAGGTCGGAGTCCAAGGCACAAGCTGCCTGGAGATAAGCTCTACGCATGGCTAGAGCTAGACCAGCCTCACCAACTATGTGGGAGCTGGATGAGGCCTATCACTACTGCTTTCCCCCACTTTCTTGACAACAAACGCACCACAAAACCCTATGGAACATAACCCAGTTGGCCCCAGAACTATGCTCACATCCCCAACAGTGGCTGCAGCAAATACCGTCAAAGGACAGTCTGAGCCCAGACTCACCTAACACTTCCCCGACTTGTTGGTATTTCTCTCCCCACCCCAGTAGCCATTCACAAAAGACATAAACTCTTGGGGATTTAATGATACCACCCTTGCCTGAGAAACCCAACACTTATCCTGGCCAACTTAGGGCAAACTTATATCCTGCTTCTACTATTGCAGCTACTGCTCTCTTGAAAGCACCACCTCCTGGCAGAAGGCCAACCAACTCAAGATATTATAGCAGTTCGTGACAGAATAACCATGCTCCAAGGAAGGAGGAAACAGCTAGTTCCACTGCTTCCAACATCCTGGCTAACAAGTGGTCATGAATCTGTCCACGTGACAACTTCATTGCTAGCATAACCAGCATTCCAGAAAGCCAGCACACTAAACATAGCTACAACCAAGGATTCTACCAGAGTCTACTTCACTCCCTTACCATCTCCACCACAGCAGGTGCTGGTATCCATGGCTGGGAGACCTGAAGACAGATCACATCACAGGACTCTTTGCAGACACGTCCCAGCATTATCCCAGAGCCCAGTAGCTTCACTGGTTGGATAGACCCAAAAGAGCAATAACAATCATTGCAGTCTGGCTCACAGGAAGCCCCATCCCTAGGGAAAGGGAGAGTGCACCACATCAAGGGACCACCCTGTGGAACAAAAGAGTCTAAACAGCAGCTCTTGAGTTCCAGGTTTTTCCACTGAAATAGTTTACTTAAATGACAGGAAACCAGAAAAGTAATTCTTGTAATATGACAAAACAGGGTAGTCTAACACCCCCAAAAGATCACACTAGGTCCAAAGCAGTGGATCCAAACCAAGAAGAAATCTCTGAATTGCCAGATAAAGAATTCAAAGGTTGATTATTAAGTTACTCAAGGAGATACCAGAGAAAGGTCAAAACTAACTTAAAGAAATTTTAAGAACAATAGAAGATGTGGATTAAAAATAATCCAGAGAAATAGATATCATAAAGAAAAACAATCACAACTTCTGGAAGTGAAAGACACATTTAGAGAAACATAAAATGCACTGGAAGGTTTCAACAAAAGAATCAAATGAGTAGAAGAAAGAACACAGAGCTCAAAGACAAGGCTTTCAAATTAACCTAATCCAACAAAGATAAATAAAAAAGTATTAAAAAATAAAAAGAACAAAGGCTCCAAGAAATTTGGGATTGTGTTAAATAGCCAAATCAAAAAATAATTGGTGTTCCTGAGGAATAAGAGAAATCAAAAAGTTTGGAAAACATATCTGAGGGAATAATCAAACTTCCCTGGCCTCACTAGAGATCTAGGCATCCAAATACAAGAAGCTCAAAGAACATCTGGGAGATTCATAGCAAAAACTTCATAAGCCAGGCACATAGTCAGGAGGAAGGAAAGAATCTTAAGAGCTGTTTGGCAAAAGCATCAGGTAACCTATGAAAGAAAATGTATGAGAATGATTGCAGATTTCTCAGCAGAAACTATGTAAGCCAGAAGGGATTGGGGTCCTATCTTTAGCCTCCTCAAACAAAATAATTGCCAGCCAAAAAAATTTTTATCCAGCAAAACTAAGCTTTATAGATGAGGGGGAGATAAAGTCTTTTTCAGACAAACAAATGCTGAGAGAATTTACCACTACCAAGCCAGCACTACAAGAAATGCCAAAAGAAGTCCTAAATCTTGAAACAAAACCTCAAATGTACAGCAAGATAAAACTTCCTTAAACATATATCTCACAGGACCTATAAAACAATAACACAATGAAACATAATCAAGGTATTCAGGCAACAACTAGCACAATGAATAAAGCATTACCTCACATCTCAATAATAATGTTGAATGCAAATGGCCTAAATGCCCCACTTAAAAGATAGAAAATGGCAGAATGGATAAACATTCACCAACCAAGTATCTGCTGTCTTCAAGACACTCACCTAACACATAAAGACTCACATAAAGTTAAGGTAAAGGGATGGAAAGGGATATTCCAGGCAAAATGAAAACCAAAAGTGAGCAGGAGTAGCTATTCTTATATCAGACAATAAAGACTTTAAAACATCAACAGTTTAAAAAGACAAAGAGTGACATTATATTATGATAAAAAGATAAGTCCAACAGGAAAATATCACAATCCTAAATATATATGGACCTAACATGGGAGCTCCCAAATTTATAAAACAATTATTACTAGACATAAATAATGAGACAAATGGCAACTCAATAATAGTGGGTTCTACAGTACTCCACTGACAGCACTAGACACGTCATCAAGACAAAGTAAACAAAGAAACAATGAGCTTAAACTATACCCTACAACAAATGGGCTTAATAGATATTTACAAAACAATTGCAGAATACACATTCTTTTCATCAGCACAGGGAACACTTTCCAAGATAGATCATATGATAGACCACAAAACAAGTGTCAATAAATACAAGAAAATCAAAATTATATCAAGTACCATCTCAGTCCATAGTGGAATGAAATAGGAAGTTAACTCCACAAAGAACCCTTGAAACTACAGAAAACATGAAAAATAATCTGCTTCTGCATGATCTTTGGGTCAACAATGGAATCAAGATGGAAATTAAAAAATTCTTTGAACTGAAGGATAATAGTGACAAAACTTATGAAAACCCCTGGGATAGAGACAAAGAGGTGCTAAGAGGAAAGTTCATAGCATTAAATGCCTACATCAAAAAGTCTAAAAGAGCACAAATAGACAATCTAAGGTAATGCCTCAAGGAACTAGAGAAACAAGAACAAACCAAACCCAAATCCAGCAGAAGAAAACACATAACAAAGATCAAAGCATAACTAACTGAAATTGAAACAAAAGAAAAACAATACAAAAGATAAATGAAACAAAAAGCTGGTTTTTTGAAAAGATAAACAATATTGATAGACCATTAGCAAGATTAACCAAGGAAAGAAGAGAGAAGATCCAAATAGCTCAATTAGAAACAAAATGGGAGATATTACAACAAATACCACAGAAATACAAAAGATCATTCAAGGCTTTTATGAACACCTTTACATGCACAAACTAGAAAATCTAGAGAAGATGGATAAATTCCTGGACATATACAACCCTTTCAAGATTAAGGAAGAAATAGAAACTTTGAATAGACCAACAACAAGCAGCGAGATTGAAACAGAAATTTAAAAATTGCCAACAAATAAAAAAGTCCAGGACCAAGTGGATTCACAGATGAATTCTATCAGGCCTTCAAAGAATTGGTATGAATCTTACTGAAACTATTCCAAAAGATAGAGAAGTAGGGAATTCTCCCCAAATCATTCTATGAAGCCAGTATCACTGTATTACCAAAACCAGGAAAGGACATAACAATAAAAGAAAATTACAGACCAATATGCCTGATGAACATAGATGCAAAAATCCTCAGCATAATACTAGCTAACTGAATCAAACAGCATATCAAAAAGATAATTCACCGTGATCAAGTGGGTTTTATACCAGGGATGCAGAGATGGTTTAACACATGCAAGTCAATAAATGTGATATACTACATAAAGAGAATTAAAAATTTTATGATCATCCAAATAGTTGCAGAAAAGCATTTGACAAAATTCAGCATCCCTTTATGATTAAAACTCTCAGCAAAATCAGCATAGAAGAGACATACCTCAAGGTAATAAAAGTCATCTATGAAAAACCCACAGTCAGCATTGTACTAAATGGAGAAAAGTTGAAAGTTGAATTGGAACAAGACAAGGATGTCCACTTTCACCATTTCTATTCAAGATAGTATGGGAAATCCTAGCCAGAGAAATCAGACAAGAGAAAGAAATAAAATGCATCCAAATCCAAAGAGAAAGTCAAACTGTTGCTGTTTGCCAATGATTAATCGTATACCTGGAAAACCCTACTTGTCCAAAAAAACTCCTAGATCTGATAAACAAATTCAGTAAAGTTTCAGAAAACAAAATCAATGTACACAAATCAGTAGCACTACTATACACCAATAGCAACCAGGCTGAGAATAAAATTAAAAACTCAACCCTTTTTACAACAGCTGCAAAAAATAAAACAAAATACTTAGGAATATACCCAGTCAGCCCCCCAAACTTTCAGGGACATGTATGAAGCTGGAAACCATCATTCTCAGCAAACTAACACAAGAACAGAAAACCAAACACCACATGTTCTCACTCATAAGTGGGAGTTGAACAATGAGAACACATGGACACAGGGAGGGGAAAAACATACACCAGGACCTGTCAGGGGGTGGGGAGGTAGGGGAGGGATAGCATTAGGAGAAATACCTAATGTAGATGATGAGTTGATGGTTGCAGCAAACCACCATGGCACGTGTATACCTACGTAACAAAACTGCACGTTCTGCACATGTAACCCATAACTTCAAGTATATATTTTTTTTTAAAAAGGAATATACCTAACCAGGAGGTGAAAGATCCCTGCAAGGAAAACTAAAAAACACTACTGAAAGAAATCATAATGATGCAAACAAATGGAAACACATCCCATGCTCATGGATGGGTAGAATCAATAGTGTGAAAATAACCATACTGCCCACAGCATTCTATAAATTCAATGCATTTCCCATCAAAATATGGTCATCATTATTCACAGAAGTAGAAAAAACAATCTTAAAATTCATATGGAACAAAAAAGAGCCCTCATAGCCAAAGAAAGACTAAGCCAAAAGAACAAATATGGAGGCATCATGTTACCCCACTTCCAACTATAGGACAAGCCTATAGTTATCAAAACATCATAGTACTGGCATAAAAATAGGCATGTAAACCAATGGAACAGAATAGAGAACCCAGAAATAAATCCAAATACTTATAGCCAACTGATCTTTAACAAGGCATACAAAAACGTAAAGTGGGGAAAAGATACCCGATTCAACAAATGGTGCTGAGATAATTGGCAAGCCACATGTAGAAGAATGAAGCTGCATCCTCATCTCTCACCTTATGCAAAAATCTACTCAAGATGGATCAAAAACTTAAATTTAAGACCTGAAACCTAAAAAATCTAGAAGATAACTTTGGAAAAACTCTTCTAGACATTGGCTTAGGCAAAGAGTTTATGACGAAGAACCCAAAAGCAAATGCAACAAAATCAAAGATAAATAGATGAGATTTAATTAAACTAAAATGCTTCTGTACAGCAAAAGAAATAATCAGCACAGTAAACAGACAACCCACAGAGTGGGAGAAAATATTCACAAACTGTGCATCCGACATAGAACTGATATACAGAATCTATAAGGAACTCAAGCAAATCAGCAAGTAAAAACAAATAATCCCATCAAAAATTACGCTAAGGTCATGAATAGACAATTCTCAAAGGAAGATATACAAATGGCCAACAAACATATGAAAAAATGTGCAACATCACTAATGATCAGGGAAATGCAAATCAGAACCACAATGTGATGCTACTTTACTCCTGCAAGAATGACCAAAATCAAAAAATAATAGATGTTGGCATGGATGTGGTGAAAAGGGAGCACTTGGACACTGCTGGTGGGAATGTAAACTTGTACAACCACTATGAAAAACAGTATGAAGATTCCTTATAGAACTAAAAGTAGAACTACCATTTGATTCAGCAATCCTACTACTGGGTATCTACCCAGAGGAAAAGAAGTCATTATATGAAAAACAGACTTGCACATGCATGTTTATAGCAGCACAATTCACAATTGCAAAAATAAAAAAATCAGCCTAAATGCCCATCAACCAATGAATGAGGAGATAAAAAAAGTTATATATATATATATATATATATATATATATATATATATATATTTTCACACACACATCATGGAATACTACTCAGCCATAAAAAGGAACAAAATAATGGCATTTGCAGCAACCTGGATGGAGTTGGAGACCATTATTCTAAGAAGTGAAGTAACTCAGGAATGGCAAACCAAACATCATATGTTCTCACTTATAAGCAGGAGCTAAGCTATGAGAATGCAGTCATAACAATGATATAATGGACTTTGGGGACTTCAGGGTTAGGGTTGGGTAGGTGAATGATAAAAGACAACACATTGGGTACAGTGTACACTGCTCACATGGTGGGTGCACCAAAATCTCAGATCACCACTAGTGAACTTTTCCATGCAACCAACCACCACCTGTTTCCTAGTTTTGAAATAAAAATTTAAAAAAAGAAAATAATCCATGTATCCATTTTAGGAATGTGACATAGTTAGCCTAGAGTCGTAGAACATAAAAAGAACACTTACAATTACAAGACCAAAACAAACTATATGATTGCGTATAATGTGCAAGTATTAAACATGTCTGATCTTTAAACCTAGTAAATTATTTCACTTTTCCTGGTTGTCACAAGCCATATGGTAGTTAAATCCAAAAGAGAAAACAAAGGCACAGAGGGTGTATAGTCAATCTGTACTTCCAGTCATATTAAGGATAAATTTGCATTGTCACTTAAATGACTAGGTTGATCGTCACATAATTAATAATTAATATATAAAAATGTTCCACTTACATTGCACAGTTATAGGCTCTGTCTTAAAATTAAGATTGAAGAAAATAAAATAATATAAATTATTTTGTGAAAGTAATGTATGATAAGTTGGTGGTAGCTCATTCTGTCTTCATGGTTTATTCATTTTATGTAATTGAAAAATTTTCTTCAGGGTATCATGTATTTAATTTTTATTCAACCATAAACTGAAGCAGTCAGGAGCAGCAGCTGTTTTACTAAGCAGGGAGATATTTTATGGGTATTTTTTTCCTCCTTTTTTAACCTGTAAGAAGTTTTACCTTCCCAGAGAGAGTGGAAGTGGAAGTAGTCATAATAACAATTATAAATGCAATTAAGGAAGTTTATTTACTTTTGACCAGACATTTTAACATATAGCCCCTACCATGTCTTTTACAATGTAAATATATACTTAGTGTTGTTAACAAATTACTAATGAAGTAAAAGAAATAAACATCAAATAGGAAAGACTCTCTCATGCTGAAATAAATCTCTCTGTCTTTCATTTTATCTATCATCTATCTATCTGAAGGTTTTTTCCCAAGTTCATGTGAACTGACGTTGGAAAACAAGAAAACAGATTCTGTCTTGATATTTTCCAGTCCTAGACTTTGAGAATTCATTCATTCCTTTAAGAGATGATTGATCTATTATCACTTAGTTCCTTATAGTTGCCTTTAATCTTAATGAGTTGGTAACACAGTGATTGGGATGGTGTGATGCCCCATGATTAAGGCCATGGTTTGTTACTGATGATAGACGTTATTTATCTCTGACTCTTCTCTCTCATAGATACTATCATTTGCTAAGTGCCTTTTACAGAAACCCTACAATGACTTTCATAGCAGCCCCTCCTATTTACTCTCAGGAACATTACCTTATTTGAAAAGCTTTCTTTCTCATCCGACTTACTGTAATAGAACTCTGATAATTTTATCTCCACATTTCCATAAATAATTAAAATTAAAGCATTTCTATTCATTTTGGTGAACTAGTTTTAGGAAGAGCTCTCATTTTATTCCACTCTAAAGCAAAAACTACACAAATGTTAATGATTTTCCATAACCAACTCAAAAGTACCCATAAATCCTAACAACAATTCAGATATTTCATGATTTGTTTCCCAACCAACCTGTTTATTCTTAGGTCATGTAATTTCACCTTAATTCCCCTGGAGTCCAGCCAAACTGAAAGGTAGGAAGAATTATGTTACCTAAACTCACCAGACTTGCTAGACGAAGCAACTTGCTCCAGAAACTCTGTAAATCTTAATGACTAATGCCCATACCAGTCGAGTTGAATACTTACCATGAGTCAATTGTGTTTGTTCCCAAACCTGTTTGTCATTTTTACTTATTATTGTAAATAATAAATTGAGATATATAATGCTTTATTGTTGAGGAGAGCAGAGGGGAAAAGGCCTGCCACTGAAAGCCATCCCTTACATGGGTTTCCAACTCAATTTTATACCATCTGTGTGCTCCAGAAAACCTCAAAGTATCCATTTAAATTAATATGTCCTTTAGTTAGATATGCTCCAAAATATCTGGTAAAAGCAACATTAATCCCTTCCAGGGAAACCTACCATAATATTAGGCCAAAAATAATTTCCCTAAATAATTTTCTAATAAAATTGAATAGCTAATAGTTAAAAATTTTAGCACCAAGGAAACCAGTCACCACAAGTGAGAATATCACCCCCCAAAAAAGGCAACAGAATTAGAGAGAAGACACTAAAAATGTGTATTTTATAAAAATTTATGCTTACTACTATTTAGAGAAATAAAAGACAAACTTGAAAATACAGGAAGAAAACGAATAACTATAAAGTTTTGTTGCACAGATTTGCAAACTAACCAAATGGAGTTTTAAAATGTAAAAGAGAGTAACTTAAAAGCTCAATGGAATAGTAAGGCTGCAGACTAGAATATCTCTAGCTAAAGAGAGATTTAGTGAACTGGAATTTTCATTTTTATAGACTCAACAGTTGTAGAAAAGAGGAAGGAGAAAAAAGCAGAAAAGAAAAGAACACACATTACTTAATAACTTCAAAATTATACCATTTATCAAACTGGAATCCTATTATAAGTCTTCCATATCCCATGCTGATAATTAAAAGAAATACTGCCTATCTTGAATTTCTGTGTTGAATAGAATGTGTGAGGCAGGTCCAACCAACTTATAACAAGTTAATTCTTACATGAATCTATAACCCAAATTTCTGATAAACAATTGACTGCACCACTTCAAATAAACTTTTCTCCTTGTCTTATTAGATAGGAAATCTTTGCTCCAAAATTAATTTCCCATCAGTTCCATAGGTATGCCATTCTAATCACAACCCCATTCTCTGGCTTGATCAATGTCTGTGGTGCAAGATTTGTGGCTGTGGCTACACGAAATGGTTTAAGAGTAGTTTCCAGCAATGATCCCTCAATATTTTACCAAGTCGATTGCCTTACATACTTGTATAGTTTCCATTGTACTCTGCAGATATCTACTTGGATTTCAATTTATGAAATAAAAATTGAATGGTTGAAATACATTATAATGAAGGAAATTTGAGCCTATATTTAGCAACCAGCATAAAAACAATCATATAATATTATACATATTACAATTTAAAGTGTCTCTGTATATGTAATATTTACAAAAATCATGAGAGGTAGACCGGGCTGAAAATAACATCTCAATTTTACAGAATGTTAAGTGGTTTGGCTAAAATCACAGAGATAATAATGGTGGAGACAAAAGAACAAAAGTCTTCTTAATCTGAACTAAATTTTCTTTCTGTAATTTTCATGTTGCCAAGACTGAGATAAATCTTTTAGTTTTCTTTTTTTACTCTGGAAAGTGCCAGAAACCTCATCTCTAAGAGTCATTAAATCTCATTAATGTATTATTCATTTATTTTAATTTGAAATTTGTCTAAAGTAAAATATTATAAAACCAAAAAACTGATTAAACATGATAGTATAGTTGAAGTTGTTGAATTTTTTAAGTTGTAAGAATTTTATACCTTAACTAAAGCAATTCAGAGACAGTTAAATTAATGAATTATGTTATAATTTATCATCTTGAATGAGGAAATAATAAACATGTCATCATCATTTTCTTGTTCCAAAATAATTATTTAGGAAAATAATTCAACTTAACATTCTTTGTGTGTGTGTGTGTGTGTGTGTGTATGTGTGTTTTAATAAGAACTAGAATTAAACTGATAGTTATCTTCTGTATCTCTTTTCCTTCAGAAGTTTTTTTTGTTTTGTTTTGTTTTTTTAAAAAAAAAATGCAGAAGACCGCACACTTCTGGTGTTAGCTTGTTATGCTTTGATGTTAAACAAAGAGTTCCTGGCAAACAATTGCCACTTCTGGGTCACTAGTTCAAATGAGAATTGTACTCTCAGTGTCAATTGTGCAGCATTTGGTGATTCTTTGTTGTTCCTGATATAGTCTGTTTTCTACAAAACATCACAAGTTTAGTAGAAAGATACAGACCAGGGAATAAAGAGCAATATAACCTAAAGAATTTCTTGTTTCAACTTAGTTTCTGGTTATCAGAGCTACAAGTTGACCACATTGCAACCCAGTTAAAGTCTTACAAACATCCTCAAAACAGTCAAAAAAATTTAGGGAAAGAAGAGTATGTTTCCAGGATTCATTCCAACAGTCTCAAAAGATAGATAGGAGCAGAGATAGAAGAGAAGATGGGTCAACCCTTAGGCTTCATAGAAAATGTGGGAGCAAGGTCACCCTGAACATTTGAGGCCAGGCTCTTTATAAACCTTGAATTTTTAATAGTAAATCCAAATCCTAATGTAGTTACTCTCAAAAATCTAATATATAAAAAAGAGAGAAAGAACAAATATATCTGAAGTATTTTACTGTATACCAGAATGTGTTAGGCTTATTTGATGTCCAAAATAAGATATTAGGTGTCTATTTGTAGCCGTAGTACAACAAGTTGTCGTTATTGTTTTTCACATGAGGAGGCTGAAGTTTAGAGAACTTTAATGCTTGCCAAGGATGATACATCTAGCAAGTTACAGGGCTCAAAATGCATGTTTAGACTGAAGCTTCACATTGATAGGAGTCTCTATATTCATTCCAGAATTAAAACAGAGACAAAATTCCCCTCAGAAGAGGAGCAAATATTTTAGTTTTCCACTTCTGCAAAGGTTATAGTGGTTAATTGGAGCTATTGGGCTTCCAACAAATTCTGGGGAAATGTATCACTGAAAATTTAGAGAGTGGAGAGCAATATTCTGGGAGGTTCTTGCCATACCTCATGTTGTTCATTATTTACAATTTTTAATTTAGGATTGGCCCAGATATTCAAGTCATGTACTGATCACACCATTCTTTTGTTTCACTTCCAGTGAAAAACTTCTTAAACCTAGGAGAGATCAACACCTGCAGTTCAAAGATTTTAGCCTTTAGTTTTTATGATTTTGAGAATCGTATCTCTAATATACTGCTGGGATTACCTCCTCCTCCATAGATTCTACTTTCACTTCCTGCAATGAATCTATCATACACTATTATATTGTCAGGTCATTCTAGGGGTTATCTACTCAACCCCAAAGTACTTTGGTAGCTAGTCTATTGCAGAATGCTGAGTTGTGCTACTTACTGGAAGTGAGCTTTTCATTTCTTTGGATTGATTCTCTATGTATTACTTTCTTTCAAAAACATAATTACATGCATTCTTCTATCAGATTCTTAGTTGGATCACTTTCTCCTGCATCCCAATGTTATGATTCTATGTATTTATTCAACCCTCCTCTAAGCATCATATAATTACGAAGTAGAATTGCTAGCCCTTAATGTTATCAGCAAAACCCATTAGGTAATTTCTTGTTGCCTGAATTGCCCCTATCTCATTAAAGCAGCCTACAGCCTTTAATGATTCTTTGCCAGAATAGATAATGTGGTTAAAAAATGTAAGCAATTATACACAGAATACTCATTTTAAAATGCCTATGATGTGCCAAACAATAAAACTCTCTACCTTTAGGAATATCGATTCAGTTTGATTCAATTTAACAAACATTTATTGGATGCCAGATGTATGTCAAAGCACTAGTCCAGGTTCTGGGGATCTACGGATAAATAATATACAGTGCCCAGTCTCAGGGAACTCACACTATAACAGGAAAAACATAAAAATTAATGTGGAAATAACATGATAAGTACCATAGGAGAGCTACACAGGAAATATTATGAGACCACAAAAAAGAATCAATCAAGTTGACCTTTAGGGGGCATTGAGTAGCAAGTACTTTTATAGGCAGCCTAGAGGTGGTTATTATATTTGACTTCTAAGGGTAAATGGTTGCTCACTAGGAAGGTAAGAAGGAAGAAAGAAAGGAAGCAAGGAAGGAAGGAAGGAAAGGAGAGAAGGAGGGAGGGAGAAAGAAAGGAAATTCTAAACAGAGAAAATAACAGGAGCAAGAGAATGAGAATGTAAATGTAGCCAGGATGTTTTGTAGGTGATTGGGTCACTGCACTGGCAAGAGAGGAAATTAGAAAAAAAAAAAAAAAATAGAACCAACCATTAAGGGCTTTGAATGCCACAATAAAGCATTGGAAATTTATTTCAAAGGTGACCGTATTAGTTTTCTATACTGCATAAAGATTTACCACAAACTTAGCAGCTTAAAGCAAAATTCATTTGCTATCTCACAGGTCAGAAGTATAGGCATTATTTAGCTGGATCTTCTGTTAAGGACCTGAAAAGCCTGCAATTGACATGTTAGCTAGGGTTTGATTCTCATCCAGAGGCTCAACTAGGTAGGCATCTTCCTCCCCACTTGGGTGACTGTTTCTTGCTTTTTCAAAGTCTGCAAGGAGAGAGAGACTCAAGCAAGTCTGATAATAAGACAGAGTTTTATATAACATAATGGAAACGCAGGAAGAACATCCCATCATTTTTGCTATATTCTATTTGTTAAAAGCAAGTCACAGTCCCACTGACCTCAAGGGGATGGAATTATATGAAATTGTAAACTCCAGGAAGTAGGGATCATGAGGGTCATCTTAAAGTTTGTCCACCACGGACAATGAGTGTTTTTTTAAGCAGTGACATATAATACCTATGCATAAGAAATAAGCTAGTGTGGAATTGTGAATAGTGATTTGAAGGTACAGAGAGACAAAAACAGATACACTTATCTCTTTCATATTTTCTACCTGGTGAAGTAACTTTTTCTATGAAGAATAGTTGTGTTATTTTTCTTCCAAAGAACAAAAAGACCATAAGCTTCCTGAGATTTACTGAAAACACTGTCCCCTTAGAAAAGAAGAAAAGAACAGTGCCTTGGAATGACTAACAGTAGCCTTCCTTAGAAAAGGAAGGAGCAGAGTAGAGGACCCATTGTCCTGATGAATGGGACAAAATTAGATTCTTTTATGTTTCAAGGGTTTGAAATAGATTCCCTGGAAAGAAGCAAAGAAAGACTATGATAACAAGTCTTTGAGGAAACAGGCACCAAAACCAATTCTGACCTGGTTGCCCTTCCTTAGTCTACAGCCTAGGGAGGTGGTAGCGGGCATTTATTGAACAAAGAACTGCTGTGAAAGGGCATTATTCCTGGCTGAGGGAAAAGAGGGTGATGGGATAGTTAGCAGAAAACCCTGGTTTTACCTCTGCTGTTTAAGCATGACCTCTGGACCAGTTTCTAATAGCCACTTGTTTTGCTCCATGCTTACTTTGTGGGAGGTAGAATATATCTTCTCCTAGCAGCAGAAGATAACTTACTCACGCAACACCCAGTTTTCCTGTAAGTTCGTGTGCAGTTTCTCAGCCTTGGTTGCACAATTACAATCATCTTGAAAATACACATATTTTAAAAATATAAGGCCGGTGTGGTGGCTCATGCCTGTAATCCCAGCATTTTGGGAGGCTGAGTCGGGTAGATCACCTGAGGTCAGGAGTTCGAGACCAGTCTGGCCAACATGGTGAAACCCCGTCTGTACTAAAAGAATTGGCTTTGGTCCCTGTTTCCTCAAAAATACAAAAATTAGCTGGGCATTGTGGCAGGCACCTGTAATCTCAGCTACTTGGGAGGCTGAGGCAGGAGAATCACTTCAACTGGGATGGGGAGGTTGCAGTGAGCTGAGATCGTGCCACTGCACTCCAGCCTGGGTGACAGAGTGAGACTCTGTCTCAAAAAAATATAGATAGATAGATAGATGATAGATAGATAGATAGATAGATAGATAGATAGATAGACAGATAGATAGATGATGGATGCCCAGTTTTCACTGGCAGGTGATCTGATTCAAATTGTCTGGGATAGACCCAGGCATTGGAATTTTATTGTTTTTTAAACCCTTTAGATGATTCCAATGTATATCCAGGGTTGAGAACCATTGTTCCAGAAAACTCTGATTACATGGTATGCTGGATAACAGGGTTTATCCTAGACTTGCTTATATTACCAACAGGGAGATTAGAGCTTGAGCTTCTAATTTGTGATGGTCGGTTGGGGTACTGATAAATTCCAACTGAGGCTGGGAAGGACACATGATAATACACTTCATATTGCTATTTTATGAATGAGCAGAGGTGGGCTGATAAATGTTTAATAATCAGACCTAATATACAGATTTTCCAATTTCCATGACATAAATCTTCCTACTATGGTAATTTTAAGCTATCAAACTGACATCACTGAATATGAATTTGGGAGAAGATGCATAGCAAGTGGCATATGATTATATAGCATTTCCGTAATACAGATACAATCAACAATAACTTCAAGACTGTAGATAATAGAAAATGTAGAAGAAATAATTAGTTGTGATTATTTTCTTTCTTTTTATATAACTTACTTAATTTTAAGTTTATAGTATTTAACTTTTAATACCAGTTGTGTTTAACAACTAACGATTCATGTAATTCTTAAAAATCCACCATGATGTTGTCTGAGTACGCTTCAGCACACTCTTGTATAAGCCAACTTATATACAAGCATGACTCATATTTAAAATATTTAACAACCAGTTTTGCATGGGCACCAACCTATTAGAATGGATATTAGCCAACATGCCATAGCTGTGCCTACAAGAATTCACGTGTCCAGAGGAGACATGCGATTCACGATTAACCTTCATATCTTTTAAGGTTCCTAGCCCACTGCCTTGAACATAGTAAGTGAACTCCAGTAGTTTGGAAAGACTAAACGCTGAATGAATAAATTATGCATTGGCAGAAGTGACTTCATAGTGCAAATATATACGTATATAGAAGTCTATTACAGAAGACTTAGGTTTTAAAAAAGTCCCTCCCTCCTTTTATAGAGAATTTGTGTTTGGCTGAGAATTTTCTTTTTTTTTTTTTGGTGATTTTCTTTATATATATATATATATTTTATTATACTTTAAGTTCTAGGGTACATGTGCACAACGTACCATACATATGGTACATGTGCACAACATACCATACATACATACATACATATGTAACAAACATATGTCTACATGTGCCATGCTGGTATACCCAAAGGATTATAAATCATGCTGCTATAAAGACACAGGCACACGTATGTTTATTGCGGCGCTATTCACAATAGCAAAGACTTGGAACCAACCCAAATGTCCAACAATGATAGACTGGATTAAGAAAATGTGGCACATATACACCATGGCCGAGAATTTTCATGCAGGACAAGTAAACAGTATTTCACCTATTCCTTTACCTTAGTGATCCTTTTTTCCTTATGTTGAAATTCTACATTGGAATAGATGTCCATCCCACTCTCCATGCTCCAGAAAGTTGTTCATGCTACTCTCAGTCTGCCAGGCCATTTCATGCTCTATCAGACTTTTGTTTATTTCTTCTTAGTACTCGCTTCTCTTGATTTTTTTCCCTTTGATGTGCCCTTACCCTCTCAGTCACCTAGGGATCACCTACTTTCAAACTTTTATACTCTTCTTGACACCTGTGATTAGACTGGTTACATTCTCCCCTGTGCCTCCACTGAGTGCTACAGAACACTAACACATTATCTAACACTTTATTAGGTTTAATTATTTATATGTCTGCATTTGTTCACATGTCCTTCCCTGCCCTTGGGGAGAATATGAGCTTTGGGAAGGCAATATTGCTTTTTCACATTTCCTTTTCCTATTCTTCTTCAGTATTCCTTGAGAATTTCTAAATCCCACTTATCCCTTTCTAGGGCTTAGACTCTTTGAAAGCTGAGGAAATACCCCTATCTATCCCTATACCAAAAAGTATAGTGGACTTCAGAGCCAGACTGCCTGGATGAGAATTGAAGCTCCACCATTCACTACACATGTAATTTAAAATCAATTATTTCCATCTGCCTCAGTGTTCTCATCTGAAAAAATGGTGTTAAAAATGTACCAATCTCATAGATTGTTAAGAAGACTGAATATGTCAGTTTGTATATATGTTTATTACAATGTCTGGACCATCATAAGCATACAATTAATATTAGCTATTATTATACTTACAGGAAACACTTGATAGATAATTGCTAAATGAATGAAGAATAAAACATATAATAACACACCAATGAGAGTTAACTTTATTAATGCCATACTTATTCTACTGCCCCATTCCTCACTATTTCCCAGGAAATATTTTTTTTAAATTAAAATACATACCTACCATTTTAACTCTATGCAATAACAGAAATTAATATCCTATTTATTGTTACTCAAAGGAAGTGTTGATTTTAAGAACATCTTTTTGTTGCCCTATTTCTCAACTTAAATTCAGGGACATTTCAATATGTTTATGCCATTAGTATCCTCTATACCAGAGATTGTGTTAAAATTCATGCTGGAGGTCTCACCTTTTCTTCTGTCATATCACTTGCCTCCTGAGATGGATCTCACCCCACCCAGAGGTGGGAAGTCGTTAGTTCTGATGTAGCCTGAGACCAAAAAAGATGTGTCATTTTCCTTTAAAGAATAAATTGAAATGTGAAAGTTAGTAAGAGATGAAGTTTCAGCATTTTAGCTCTTGGCATTAGCAAAATTTTTATATCTGAGAGCACAGAAAACAGATCATTTAGTCAGGCCTAGAAGAATGAAATTATGAAACCTCAGAACACAGTAGCTTTGTCTAGAAGAGTAGAATACATGAATTTATCTTTCCTCTGAAAATACACTTAAAATAGTTGAATCAAGACTAACCATGTCCTTAGTTTGAGTTTCCCATCTTTGGCCTGCTGTAACTCATCTTTCAAAAAATATTTTCTGAACATCTTTACTATTAATTCATTGCTTGTATAATTGGCTACAAAAATTTCCTTCAAAACACTTGATTTTTAATTAAACAGTTTTTTTTTAAATTGGAGATCTATTTTTTTTTTCCTTTGGCACCACCATACAGATACTTGCCTTGACATATGGGAAGAGATTGCTGCCTTTGGAGGTACCTAATTTTCCTATAAGTCACCAGTAGAAAAATCAAAGTTACCCTAAGAAATCTCATTAAGCCCAGTGATAAACTCCCATTTTTCTAGTTAATCTTTTCCAAAGTCAAAATCACCACAATAAAAAATGCAAAATGAAGCAAATTATGGAAGATGAATATGAAATAGCTACTTATACTAAAATATAGATTAAAAATCAAGAATTCAGAAGTGTTTCTTCTGATTGACACAATGTTGCTCTCATATCTGTCCACCAATAAGTCTTAAAAAAGGAACAGCTAAATATTGAGGTAAATTGAGTGGTCTAGGCAATTTCCCAAGCATTTAATGAGAATCAAAGCCTTTTGATCCTACATGTGAAAATTATTAATACATTGAGATAGCTTCAAATTCCTTGAGAATTCTTATTACTTAAAAAAACTGTATTTAAAATACATTATTTCTTTGGATTCAGATTGAATAAGCAGTGCTATAAGGGAATTTTTAGATAATAAGTGGAAAATGTATCAGGGAAGGCATATAATTTGAAATGTACATCTTATCATCAAAGCTATCTTACAACTGAGGAATATTTTCTTCCTTTGCTTTTTCATTCAAAGCCAAATAATTTCTCTTGGTAATAACTACTGTATAAAAATTATGGTGTGAAAACAAAGAAGGTAAAAGCAACCCTAGAATGAACCTAGGAATATTTTTTCTATTTTTCTGAGTTTCTCTTTATTTCCTTGTGATTTACTATAACCCATATTAAAAATATACATAATTCTTGCTTTTTCTTTAATCTTGAGAGGGAAAAAAATAATGCAAATATTCTGATTTATTTATTTTTTGTTACTTTATTATTTTTTTATCTCCTAAGTACTTTATTCTTGTCTTCCTTTCAAACAATTTAGTCAAAATAATTGTTTCTGTACATGCTACAGTATTGAAGATTTGACATTAATGTGACAAATTATCCCTGGGGGAGCCTACCTGTCTTCGGTACATTGTTCTAGGATCTTACATTTACCTTTATGACTTTTGCAGTATTTTATTTTAAATCCCCCTTTCCCTCACTAGTATACTGGTGAGGCAATAAGGAGCAAAGTACTATTTACATTTAAAAGAGAGAAAATTGAGACTGAAAAACTTTCCAAGGTCACTCAGGTAAGGCCTGAGAGACACTGGAGAGTTGCAGCAAATACCTGGTAGAGAACACTTGGATTCATAGCACACTCATCATTAGAAAGTGAATGCACTGCCTTTGAGTGTGGAAAAGCAAGGAGACTTGTTAGAAAACATGCAGTTTCACAAATGAGCCAGCAACACGCCTTTGCCCAAAGAGACACCTGGAATTAATTGCTGCTCTCTTAGGAGATCAATAGAACACATGTCAGAGGGTTGGATCCTGTAGAAGTCACCCAGGCACAAGACTTTCATGTTGGCAAAAGCAGCACCTCACAGATAGATCTTTTAATTACCTAAACATCAGGAGCAAGCTGTCACCTTGTTGATGAAAGCTGTTATTTGGTGTCTGAGTACTTAGTGTTTGTACCTTCAGTGGACTTAAAATAAATCAAAGGTTTGAAAATATGAGGAAGAAAACTCGGTGCTTAGCTAAACTCCTCACATCAAAGCCTTCCTGTCTCAAAATTAACTAGGAGTAATTTCTTTCTCTTTTATTTCCTTTTATCCTTCCTTTCTTCATTCCTTTCTTGTTTTTATTTTTCCTACCAATGGATAATTTATATTCATAATATCTCATGAACATTTAAAGAGAACAAATTTAGTTGCTGTTATTAACAAACTTTGAAACCCAAATGATAGTGTCTATTATTGGCATTTAGGAGCAACAAAAAAGTAAAGCTCAGATTCTTCCCTTGAGGAGTTTGCAAGCTACTGTGAGATGGAAGACAAATCTTGCATGATCAACTCTGCCACAGTATGAAATGGGGGCAACTTGTACTCTAGAAAGGTAAAAACTAATTGCCAGTGGAATTCAAAGAGACTGATTCCACTCAGGGATAGTGAGGCAAAGCAAAGCTTGAAGGGGGATATGCCATAAAGGGGAATATTGGGAGATATGTAATTTATCTTCTTTCTTCTCCCTGGTTGGTCAGAATTTGTGTCATACTACAAACCTATTTGTTTGAAAATTCCTTAAAGCAATATAGCAGTTCCTGAATAACCAGGCCAAATGAAAGTCATCTTTAGACACTAACCCAATTTTCGTTCTGCCTCATTCTGTCATTTAAGGCTTTTTGTCAGAGAAGTAAAACACTTTAACTTCAAAAATCTCCCTAAGTTTAATCCTGGAATCTGGTCTGTATGCTTCCACATGGATTATAATAGATTTATTTTTCCCATGTCTTCTATACATGAAATAGAACATAAAAATTAATATGCCAGTTATTAAAAAATTTTAATAAGTGTGGTTGCTGGGAAAGAATCTTGGAAGGCCTAATAAAAAGTGTTTATTATAGGGAAAAAATCTAATCATTCAATTAAAAATGGGCAAAGATCTGAATAGACATTTCCCAAAATAATACATACAATGGCAAACAGGCATATGAAAATGTGCTCAACATCATTGATCATCAGAGAAATGCAAACCAAAATCACATGAAATGTTATCTCACCCCAGTTAAGATGGCTTTTATTCAGAAGTCAGGCAATAACAAATGCTGGTGAGGATGAAGAGAAAAGGGAACCCACATACAATGTTGGTGGGAATGTAAATTAATACAACAACTACTAAGAACAGTCCACAGCTTCCTCAGAAAACTAAAAATAGAGATATCATACAATCCAACAATTCTGATCCTAGGTATATAATCAAAAGAAAGGAAATCAGTATATTGAAGAGATACCTTCACTCTCTGTTTTTTTTGCAGCACTATTCACAATAGCCAAGATTTGGAAACAACCTAAGTGTCCATCAACAGATGAATGGATACAGAAAATGTGGTACATATACACAATAAAGTACTAGTCAGCCATAAAAAAGAATGAGATCCTATCACTTGCCACAACATGGATGGAACTGGATGTCATTATGTTAAATGAAATAAGGCAGGCACAGAAAGACAAACTTCGCATGTTCTCACTAATTTTGGAGAGCTTAAAAATTAAAGTAATTGAACTAATGGAAATAGAGTAGAAGCATGGTTACCAGAGGCTGGAAACGGTAGTGGGGGTGAAGGGGGAAGTGGAGACGGTACCAAAAAAAAAATTGAAAGAATGAATACCACCTAGTATTTGCTAGCACAACAGGGTGACTATAGTCAAAAATAATTTAATTGTACATTTTAAAATAACTAAAAGAATATAATTGGATTGTTTGTATCAAAAGATATGCTTGAGAGGATGGATAGCCCATTCATCCTGATGTTTTTATTATGCATTGCATACCAGTACCAAAATATTTCATGTACCCCATCAATATATACACCTACTATGTACCCACAAAATTAAAAACAAAAACAAAACCCAAAACCCCGTTTAGATTTCGTTTATTATTCATGAATCTTTATAACATCTCTTTATCATCCATTCTTTAATTTAACAAATATTCATTAAGCACAGGTTTGCACCAGGCAGTGTTCTAGGAACTCAGCAGTATGGCAGCAAATAAGACATAAAAGGTCTTTATTGTTATAAACTATATAGTATTTTATAACCAAATAATATATTCAATTGAAAAAATGTATAACCCAATATCATTAAGTGTTATGAATGAAACAAAGTGATGCTATCAGAAATGGCCCCAGGTAAGCCTCACATTTGATGTAGTCATGGAGGAAGATGTCACTAAAGAGATTAAATGTAGTTGAGACCCACAGTGTGAGAAGGAACCTGTTCTGTGAAGAGCTGGAGATGGGAGAGTGTTCAAATAATAGAGTAGCAAGTGCCAAATTAGAAACGCAACAGCTCCCTCTGAAACTCTGTGGCTGGAATATAGTAAGGGTAAAATTAAGCAAAGACCATGTCATGCAGAGCCTAATAGGGCACACTCAATGGTTTGGATTTTTCTTCTTGCGATGGGAAACCAGCAGAATGAGATCATTTACTTTATTGTTCTTTAAATTTCATTTTTCCATATGTTATTGGAGTACAGGCGGTGTTTGGTTACATGAATATGTTCTTTAGTGGAGATTTGTGAGATCCTGGTGCACCCATCACCCGAGCAGTGTACACTGAACCGTATTTGTAGTCTTTTATCCCTCTCCCTCCTCCCACTCTTTTCCCCAAGTCCCCAAAGTCAGTTGTATCATTCTTATGCCTTTGCGTCCTCATAGCTTAGCTCCCACATATCAATGAGAATATACAATGGTTAGTTTTCCATTCCTGAGTTACTTCACTTAGAATAATAATCTCTAATCTCATCCAGATCATTGCAAATGCTGTTAATTCATTCACTTTTATGGCTGAGTAGTATTCCATCATATATATATGATATATATATGATATATATACTAGATATACTGGATATATATACATATATATGATATATACTGGATATATATACATATATATGATATATACTGATATATATACATATACATGATATATACTGGATATATATCCATATATATGATATATATACATATATGATATACTGGATATATATGGATCATATATATATCATATATATGATATATATACTGGATATATATGATATATATCATATATATGATATATATACTGGATATATATGATATATATCATATATATGATATATATACTGGATATATATGATATATATCATATATATGATATATATACTGGATATATATGATATATATCATATATATGATATATATACTGGATATATATGATATATATCATATATATGATATATATACTGGATATATATGATATATATCATATATATGATATATATACTGGATATATATGATATATATCATATATATGACATATATACTGGATAAATATATCATATATATCATATATATGGATATATCATATATATCATATATAGATATATCATATATATCATATATACATATATATGGATATATATGATATATATATATCCAGTATATATATATGGATATATATATCCAGTATATATCATATACTGAATATATATGATATATATCATATATATGATATATATACTGGATATATATATGATATATATACTGGATATATATATATGATATATATATACTGGATATATATATGATATATATATATACTGGATATATATATGATATATATATACTGGATATATATATGTTATATGATATATATGATATATGATATATATAATATACATGATATATATCATACATATCATATATATGATAGATATATGATATATATATATCCAGTATATATAGAGATATATATATATCATATATATATATCATATATATATATCCAGTATATATAGAGATATATATATATCATATATATATATCATATATATATAGATAGATAGATAGATAGATAGATATCCAGTAGTGGGATTGCTGGATCAAATAGCAGTTCTTTTAGTTCTTTAAGGAATCTCCACACTGTTTTCCATAGTGGCTGTACTAGTTTACATCCCTACCTACCCCTAGAAGGAAGGTTGCAGTGAGTTGAGATCACACCACTGCACTCCAGCCTGGGTGACAGAGCGAGACACTGTCTCAAAAATAAATAGACGAATATGATAAAAATAAAATAAAAATTATTTAAGAAATTAGAAAGAAATTGGTTCGTATTGGCATTAAATATATGTTAAATATAAAGTTACATACTCATATTCACTAATATTCACTAATTCATCAGGGTGATATCATAATCCCATTTTAGTATCAGTAAAATGAGGTTCAGAGGGATTTCCTGTTTGGCTGTAACCAATAGAATTGAAGTTCAAATCCTATACCTCAAAGTTTATTTTTTTTAGAGGCCCAGGCTCCATATCATTGAGGATCTTACAACCCAATTGAGAGGCCAACATGTACAAGAAAATTAAATAATATTTCAAAAAAGTACATAATTAACTGTATTTGGAATAAGGAATGTTATACAAAGAGTTAGGTTTTAAAGCCAGGCAGACACAGATTTGATAATAGATTTGTTACTTAATGACTTTGTGAATTTAGGCAAATCATATACTCTTTTTAAAGCTCATGTTTATCTTATGTGTAAAACAACAAGTACTTCCCAAAGTTGTTTTAGGAGACTAAAAAACAGGTATGAGCACCTGGCAAACAACAGGTATATTAGCTTGCTTCCCTTATTCTGCAGTCCACAGTATTAGTGATAATTAAATCCTCTAGCATTCTGTGTACAGTGAGAAGGGTCAATTAAGCTCAATAATGTTTAATATAACCTCATTTTTACTAAATGGTTTGGGAAGAATCAATAGTGGCTGTGCATAAAGTGAAAAATTGGAATTTAAGGCAAAAAATTGTATCCTGTTCTGTTGTTGTAATGGAATGTAATGAAAAATTGGAATTTAAGGTAAAGATTTGTATCCTGTTTTATTGTTGTAATGAGTCAGGAGAGATAAAGTTTCAATGTTCAATTCCATAAAGCCTTTTATGCTTTATTCAAACTGTCTCCTATAAGTCATTTTTAATATTCACTAACCTAAAATAACCTTTAAGAAGCATTATTTGAAAGAGATATTTTCTATTTGAATAACTAGATTGTTTATAGTTATTAAAATAAAATATAAAATGATTAAAATTAATATAGACATTAATATTAAATTTAATTAGTAATTAATCTTAATATAAAATATTCAATATATTTGACTAAATATATACACAGCCTTCCCTTAGTATCCATAGGGGATTGGTTCTAGGACGACTCACAGACACCAAAGTCCAAGAATGCTCAAATCTTTTATATAAAATGGCATAATATTTACATATATTAATAAGTTATGCATACCCTTTCATATACTTGAAATCATCTCTAGATTACTTATACCTATATGCTGTGTAAATAGTTGCTATACTGCCTTTTTAAAATTTGTATAATTCTTATTGATTCATTGTTATTTTAATTTTTTTTTCCCAAACATTTTCTATCTGTAGTTGGTTGAATCCACAGATGCAGAACTCATGGGTATGAAAAGCCAACTGTATTCCACTTTGCATGAAGACATGACCTTAAGCAGATACTAAGTCTATGTTTGATCAACAGCAGTTTACATTGGTAAATGAAACTATAAAATGGAAGAGTATTAGGTTAAAGATCGGTCTTTTTGTTTATTAATTTATTTGTTCATTATTCGTTAGCTTTTTGTTGTTTGTTTAGTAACAACTAGTCCCCCCTGTATTATCAATTCATATTCAGGTACAATTATAAAATTTCAAAATTAAATTTTATTTGTAATTACATCTTTTTTAAAGATGGCGACCTATACCGTTTTAGAGGTACATTTTTAATAGGTTAGGGGAAGAGGCATTAAATAAAAAAAGGAGTTACAGATTCTATGTCATATAATAGCGGCACATGGACACAGGGAGGGGAACATCACACACCGGGTCTTGTCGGGGGTAGGGGGGATTGGGGAAGGATAGCATTAGGAGAAATACCTAATTTAGATGATGGGTTGATGGGTGCAATAAACCACCATGGCACGTGTATATCTATGTAACAAACTTACACATTCTGCACATATACCCCAGAACTTAAATTATAATAATAAAAAAATGGCAGCACAAATGTAGATAAAGCTTGCCTCCCTCCCCCACCCTCAAGACACTAACTCTGAACCTGGTGATATTCCAAAATGAAATCATTCACACATTTTCTCTTTGGATATGTAGTAGGCAGTTCTGTGAAGTCATATGCAACATCGAAAAGATACAGCAGAAAGGCAACTTCTATTGGGGAATTAGGCACCATTTCCACAAGTTAAAATGCTGCCTGTCTACTCAGAGGAGTAGAGGGGTAATAAGGCTGAGGACATTATTACAATGCTGCTGCATGTTGTAAAATACAGGTGAAGGTGGGATACAGAGGTACTTAGATGGTGGGGAGGTGGAAACACACAATCTGCCAGGGTAAATTATTATCTTTATCATTTCTATCGGAACAACTATAAAACTCAGTTTTGATACTGCAGAAGAATAAAGACAACTTGCCATATTTCAAATTTTATACAGTGGTCTTTTCCTGTGTATTATAAAATGTGTTTTATCATATTTCTGAGAGTTAAAAGTATATTTTGTTTTATATTGTTTCTCTCCCTTTTGAGATTCTGGCAAGTAATATGTATTTGTGCATATGTGGGTATGTCAAGGAAATTACTATATGTGATAAATGAGAAAGGGAGGCACTTGTACCCTCCCCATTTCAACTTTACCTACTTTGGAAAAGGGCAATAGTAGAAGAGAAAAAAGATAAATTAAAGCTCACATCTACTATTAGCAGTAGTTGAAAGCAAGAGAAAGAAAATATAGTTTCTGTAGATTACCCAGCATGAAAAAAGAACTCCTATCTGCCTGCCTTCCCCCTCTTTTTTAATACCGGGTCTCTACTTCTTTCATTAGAGATTTTGGCGCAACCTGTAACCATAACCATGACAGTTATTAAGAATCAGCGACCTCAGTCAACTGAACTGCTATTATTTTTCAAGGAACATAGTGTACTATTAATAATTATATATATATATATATATATATATATATATATATCTACAAACATGAGTCAGCTCAATGAAAAGTGACCCCTTTTATCTTATAATTTTAAATTATTATTATCAAAGCCCATTAGTAAACACAAATGAATTAGTAGAATTTAATAGTAGTGGCATTTGAAAGCATCCTTAATTCCTTCAGCCTTTACAGTTCCTTATTAGGTTTATATCCTGAACTATGAACCAACCGGTACTCAGTAGGTGGGTCAGTTAATATCTTTAAGTATAACTTGCTAGAGACATCTACAGTAATAAAAGAATTATTTTCTCTATACTTCTAGAAATTTATACCCTCTTGAATATGAATTTAGGAGGGAAAATACCAGAGAGGTTTTGTGCCACGTGGACCTAAAAAACATTTTTGCCTGCCTGTACAACTATATACTGTCATTATATTTGGTTACTTAGCCATTTACCCAGATATTCAAAAACAGTCAGTTTTGCAGGAAAACAATTTCTGATAACTACCAAACAATTTAAATAATATGTAGATGCATACATTTAATTGTTTTGAATAAGGACTTATCAAATCTGTCTTGTCTATGTGACTCATTTGGCCACTAAAATAATACAGCTTAGTATATATTATGCTATTACCTCAGATTGTGTTTCATTCAACTTTCTTATTTCAGTCTACAAAGTTATCTGAATATTGAAGGGAAAACTACTTGCATTTTTCTCCTTAGATCCTTTTACAGATGTTAAAAATTTCCTCAAGTTTAAATGATTTTTTTTTTTTTAGCTCAGGGGTAGTTTTATTAGAAATCTCAAAATAGTCTTGTCATACACATACTTGAAAACATTATTGTTCAATATACAGATAGAAAAGAGAAACCCTGCTGCTACTCCTACTTCCTCAATTCCTACTTCCATAGCCCCCAGCAGGACTCAATGGCATATTCTGTATATGCAATCAAAAACCATTTAAGAAAGAGAGACAGCTATATGCTGTCTATCTGCAGCAAATTTTCCAAATATCCTAAACACAGGAAAGTCTCATGTGTTGAGATAAATTCAGAATTAAACACAAACCTAAAGGCTAAGAACTTAAAAAAAAAAAATCAGAGACACTTGTAAACCTCATCTCTACCCTGTGAAAGCCCCATAAACCAAACCTTATCTTAAATACAAAACTCAAGAGGAGTATTGGAAAGGGTACAGGCTCCAAAGAAATTTAAACAACAACAACAAACTAGACTGGAATTAGGGAACTACCACATATTGCTTGGGGTGACAAATGGGGACCCATTATTTAATTTTTTTTTTTTTTTTTGAGACAGAGTTTCACTCTGTCGCCCAGGCTGGAGTGCAGTGGGGCTATCTCGACTCACTGCAAGCTCCGCCTCCCGGGTTCACGCCATTCTCCTGCCTCAGCCTCCCGTGTAGCTGGGACTACAGGCGCGCGCCACCATGCCCGGCTAATTTTTTGTATTTTTAGTAGAGACGGGGTTTCACCGTGTTAGCCAGGATGGTCTCGATCTCCTGACCTCGTGATCCGCCCGTCTCGGCCTCCCAAAGTGCTGGGATTACAGGCGTGAGCCACCGCGCCCGGCCTATTTAATATTTTTGCCTTTCAGTTTTCTCATGTGTAAAATGGGAATAATAATATTTATCCATAGTATTTAAATACATCAGGTTAATAATAAATGTAAAAGAATACATATACATACTTGTTGTGTCTTGCCTCTCCTTTTGTCTCTAGTTGCAGATTCTAATGCAAATTAGGCTTTTTCCTGAAAATATTATAGACCATGACATCTTCTCAGATGAATGTCTGATCCCGTTTTTCTACCCCCTGGCAGCAAGGATATGCCTGCTGCTTGCTCACAAATACAACTTTCTGACCGACACTTAACCCATCTTCAAATCTCTTCATTTCAATTCTGATTCTTACATGTGTCTTCTTCCGATAAATTAATTTTTTAAAATTCCAAGGTCTTCATATTTGACTCAAGTCTTTCATCTACCATCATATAGATAACAACAACCACAGTAATAATAAAAATGATCTAACACTTTTAATTTGTGTAGTGCTTCAGTATTAATAAAACATTTTAACATGTAATGTCTTACTTAATCCTCAGAAAACTCATGTTATAACAGCACATATCAGTATCTCCTTCAAGAGCTGAAGAAATAAATGAACTTTGGAATGTTTTCCCAAATGGCAAAGCCAGAATTAAACCCAGGTCCTTCTAATCCCAGAACTCTTCTGCTATGTCCTATTGCCTTTTTGCAACAACAATTTTCATGTTGATGTCCATTTACTAACTTTATCTCTTAGATTTTTAGACTTACTTACATTCTAGTAGCTCCTCAAAACCTTTTATGCCTCTATATACTTCATATGCACCACATTTTCCCATTAACATTTTTAAAAAACATATAAAATAGCTTTTCATTTGGAGCACACACCATTTTCAGGAACATTATATAGAAACTCTGGGAGCTATGGGGAGCTGGAAGAAATGTTTCTGAGATACCAACCTGTTTCCTTAAGTGGGAAGAGCTCTGTCTCTGCTGAGAATCACGTGCTTCCTGATACTGATGCATTTCTGACATCCTTATCCTCACCTGTTTTTTCTCTCCAAATATCTCTATCAAGTGTCCACCTACTTATTGCTTGTACTGAGAGCTTCGGTTGTTTCTACCCTCCCTACACATACACATACCCTCCCATACACATGACACAAACACTCTTTAATTAAATAAACTCCCCTCCTCTGCACACAGATTTTCCTTTCTCAGGTTCCTAAACCAGTTTTTCTTTACTTTGACCCATTCTAGTGTTATTCATCCCGTATTCCTTGGATTTTTTGGTGAGTCTTCAATCACTAATCCTCTTCTGCAGTGAAACTTCTTTTTTAAAATGAAATCTTTCTAACCAAATAAAACGGATTGATACTCAGTCCTCATCTTCCTTGAATTCTGTTAGCCGACTCTGCTGACTATTTAAAAACATTTCTTTCTCCTTAATATTGCATTTCTTGTTTTGGTTTTATTTTTGCCATTCTCAATATCCTTTCGTGTCTTCAAAGTATTCTTCTTTCTCTTCCTTCAAATTCTGTGCACATGAAGTACAAATTATCTTCACTTAGATGGCTTGCTCGCAATGAACTTTTAATATGTTTAAACTAGAGCACATCTTATTTGGAATTGAATCTTCTGATTTTTACCACAATAACTGATTCCCTCTTCTACAACACAATGTTTTTCAATAGCAGTATTATTCTGGAATCCTAAATGTGAAAAGAGCTAGTTTTGATGCTTTCTTTCCTCCTAATGCCATAAGGTTACCAAGTCCTACCATTATATCTAATGCTTCCCTGGACGTCAGTTAAAGGGAGTGGCATAGCTTTCGACTGACAGGTTTTCACAGCTGCAGATCACTAAGCCCATGTGCTCCTGGGAGAAGCTCTACTTGAGCAAAACCCTGAAAGAAATGGAAAGAAGCTACAAGTTATACAACACGAAAAAGAAAAAAAAATAGATACATTTTCTGATCCAAGCATTTCTTTTTTTGTTTTTTTGAGACGGAGTCTCACTCTGTCACCCAGGCTGGAGGCAGTGGCACAATCTGGGCTCACTGCAACCTCCACCTCCCGGGTTCAAACAGTTCTCTGCCTCAGCCTCCCAAATACCTAGGATTACAGGCGCCTGCACCACACCCAGCTAATTTTTGTATTTTTAGTAGAGATAGGGTTTCACTATCTTGGCCAGGCTGGTCTTGAACTCCTGACCTTGTGATCCACCTGCCTTGGCCTCCCAAAGTGCTGGGATTACAGGCATGAGCCACTACGCCCCCCAGCTCTGACCCAAGCATTTCTATTGCATGTCATCTCCACTGTCCAGATCCTTATCACATTATAGCTATACTTTCAGTGTTTTAATGGAAAAGTAACATATAAAATGAATATTGTTATAATTTTATGAGATATTTTATCGTATCCTTTTATTTGAATATTATACCATACAGAGGTGGGATTATATGACTGCCCAAATCTGACAGAAGAGAATATTGAGACTTAGAGGGATTAAGTATATTTCTTATGACAACTTCAAATAAAATCCTCAAATTCAAAATTTTGTCCTATGTCTACTTTGCTCTTCTGGCTCCTAAGTTGTATATCTGAATTTGTACAATCTCTGGAAGATGAGTCTCATGGTAAAAATATTTTGATCATGAAATAGCAATGATCATATAATATTTATCTTGTAAAACTGAAACTCAAGTTTTGAAGGTCTTTTAAATGCTAACCCTGTTTCACCTCTCTAACTTTATTTCTTGTTTTTCCTCCTACTACCCTTGCTCTTTCTAGACTAGTCTTTTCACCATCCTCCAAACTCAGAGAAGGTTTTCCAACTCTTTGAATTCATTCATACAGTTTTTGTTCTTAAAAAGCTCTTTATTCTCTCCTTTTTACTTTAATCATCTTGATCACTTAAAATGTGTTTCAAATTTTGCTTTCTCTACAAAGTCATTTATATATGAGTATGTTTATAACTATGGTTTTCTGCATGTGTGAGTATGTGTAAACAAGTTCTAAAATGGAATAGCCAATCACACGTTCAGATTTTTACCCCTGGTTTTTATGGAAAGTATCGTGAAGACATAGACATTGAATTCTATATATAATATGCCTCCTTTATGAAAACAAAACAATCTCATAAAGTGGGGATTATCTCAAAAAACCTTATACATTCCTGTGAAAATAATACTGCTCACTGTGATCATTTTCTTTCAGAAAATTCTTAGTTTTTATAATTTGTTAATATTTGGCATCTTATCTCTCCAACTATCTTTTTAGCTCTGTGAAAGTACTCATAGGCATCTTTGTTTCCTGTAATGCCAAGATCATTGCCGAGCTGATAGTACACTTGAGACTAAAAACAACGGAAAAGGGTATAAGCAGACCATAACTTCCAAAGGATAAAGCAACCACATCCTGTACTGATCTATGTTTTACTGCTAACCTGCTCCAGAAATAAGGCCAGCTAAGCCAGAAGTACTGAATAATTGGTAAAAATATTTGCACTTAATAAAATCACATGTTAAATATTATACTTTTCCCCAATATATTTGTTACCAATTTCTCACAAGGCCATTTATTTATTTCACCAAAGAACTTTATGTGAATCTTCTGTCTCTTTTTTGATAGTTCTTAAAAGTTAATAGGGGCCGGGCACAGTGGCTCACGCCTGTAATCCCAGCACTTTGGGAGGCCCAGGCGGGAGGATCACCAGGTCAGGAGATCAAGACCATCCTGGCTAACACGGTGAAACCCCGTATCTTACTAAAAATACAAAAAATTAGCCGGGCCTGGGGGGCGGGTGCCTGTAGTTCCAGCTACTCGGGAGGCTGAGGCAGGAGAATGGCTTGAACCCGGGAGGCGGAGCTTGCAGTGAGCAGGGATCACGCCACTGCACTCCAGCCTGGGTGACAGAGCCAGACTCCTTCTCAAAAAAAAAAAAAAAAAGTTAATAGGAAAAAGATAAATCTAAGCAAATTCTCACTGGTTGCTTTACAGGCCAAATCCTTACTTTATCTGAGTACATCCAGCCTATGATTCTCCCAGGAACTGTCCTGGGAGCAGACAGATGAAGCAGGGCCATCTGTCAACTTGGAAAAGATCCCACACCAGAGACAGACAGGTAGCATTTTGCTCTAGGCACTGATTGAGCCATTTACAGGGGATCTGCACATGGTAAAGGAACATAATCTGACTTAACAGTTCAGGCTGTGTATTTAAAGGATCATGCAAAGAAATCTGTGACACACATAAAGACATACTGGCAGTTAAAAATATTTCACAGCATAATATATCCAAGTATTGGCTAGGAAAAAGATAAGAGATACCCAGCGAACTTTCAACAAGGAGCAGAACTTTCCCAGAAAGCCAAGGTGAAAACAAACAATAGTGCCTACTCTCTTTCTAGATTACGTAGATGTAAAATACCTTAAAAGGGCTCATTGCTAAAATGTGAGGCACTACCTAAAATGAATATTTACACAGATGAAAAAATAAACAGGTGAACTCTAATGATGAATATAATTCTAAAATTCTAAAAATTTTGTCTCATGTATAAATTGAGCCATGAAATATACTAAATAAAAAATGTTCCTATAAAATATATAGATGTGAATTTGTTGGAGGAGGGAAGGGAAAGAATTATTTGTAATATGTCATCTTTCCTATTAAAAGGGAAATAAAATAGAATTGTATTTTTTCAAAGCCATGCAATGAATTAGAAGTATTATCATCTGCATTGTTATGAAAGATAAAATAAGAGACAGCTTTGTTCATGGACTTATTCCCAGAGATTCAGAAAGTAAGAAGCAGGGCATAGAGACCTCTTATCCCTACTATGAAGATTATATCTAAAGAAATAAAAAATACAATTCCCTAATGTTTTATTTCACTCAGTATTTCAGAATGAAATCTTTTAGCTTAAAAAATTCTTATTTATAGAATATAAGAAATGAGACCATCTTTAGAAATTATTAAAATCTAACTCTCTAATTTTACAAAGTGTTAGACCCAGAAATTTTACCTGAGATAAATTAAACATTGTGACCCAGATATTTGTGTTTATTTATTCAATGATACATAGATGATAGAAAAAGGAAGATGGTAATTCCGGTCTCCTAAATACCAATGCAGGGTTCTTGCTACTCTATCTTGTACTCATGTCTGACAATCAGAAAAAAAAAAAAAAAAAAAAAAAAGCAGCTTCTGGCATTTGGAAAGTGGCCTGACACGACTAGGCTTTGATTTTCTTCTATTGAACATAAACAATTTAACAGAAATATCAACATCAGAAAAGGCCATGCTGTGCTATCAATGAGAATTAAGACAAAAACAAGACTATTCCATAATCATGGCTCAACACAAATAGTATGATCATTGTCTCAGCCATAAAAAAGACCAAACATCTCAATCCTGACTAATATGCTTGACTGCTGCTTCTTTACCAATTACATCTTTAGCCCCAATGTTTTCCTCCTGCCTTATAGACACTATTTATTATGAATCCAATCATAGAATTGTTCCTGCTTCCTGACAACATCCAATCTGGAGCAAATCCATGCTTCTGTGAATCTTTCCTAACACAAGCTCAATTCCTGTAAATATTTTCTAACAACTTCTTACTGAGATACTTTTTTATTATGAATTTTCTCCCTTTTTCAAAGAGCAATAAAACCATTGTATTCAACTACAGTCTACTTTCCCAGTGTTCTTTGGTGAATGGGTAATGACAATAAAAAGCAGCCATTTATTAGAAGAAAAAAAGATAATCTATGATGAACTATCTTAAAGGTAGTTCATTATTGGATTAAAATTAAAATAGCTTGCTTATATTACATAATCAATGCTAATAGTTGGAGTTTTCTTCATTTAATTAAACTCACCCAAGATTACCTACATATAAACACCCTCTTATTTCTCCAAATTATTAAATGTCTTTCTGTGACTTACATATTGCAAAATTTCTTATTCACAATTTGTAAAAAGTGGGAAGAATTTAGAAATTATTAATTCTGAGCTTCTCATTTTAGAATGAGTTAGATCCAGACATTTTACCTATGATAAATTAAACATTAAGACCCATATGTTTTTGTTTATTTATCCTAGAACTTGAGAAAAAAATTTAAATCTTGGACTGCCACTTCTGGACAAGATTAGGAAACACCTAGAATAAAGGACAAAATATGGAAACAATGATTCTCAGAAAATTGAGCATCAGACAAGAAAAGACAGTGATCCCTGAGAGATGGAAAATGAAAAGGTCAGTTTCATTTGCCCAGGTTTTCTGTCTAGAGAATAATTCTGGGCCACAGTGCTGAGATGGAAAAATCAAAGAGTTCAGTGGTGTTCCTGAGCTGAGCAGAAAGAACTGGGAGTTCAGACAAACCAAGGTGGCTAGAATTTGCATGACAAAAGTCTCCTGTAGGAGAGAGCTATGCAGAAAGAGAACTCAGAGAGTTGCAGAGGGTTCCCCTCCTGTATTCATTTGAGTACTGATTATTACATATATACAAACTATCTGGAGCCAGAGAAAGAAAAATATAAGGCCAGATAATGGCTGTTCTCAAAAGACAGAGTGGAAACCTCATTAACTTATGAGGTATCCATTGGGAGAGCAACTGGCAAACATTTCCTTAAAGGGTCAGGCTTTGTGGACCACATAGTTTTTGTTACAGCTGTCATTGTAGCACAAAAGCAGCCAGAGAAAATAGAAAAATGGAAAAACACAACCATGGTTCTGTTTCAATATACTTTATTTATCAAAACAATCCCCAGTCTTCCAGCTGGAGTTTGCCATTTTTGGCTAAGAAAGATCTTGCCTTGGTATTGAAAAAACATTAAGTCTGGATTAAATGCTTTTTCTGGCCCCACATACAAAGCATAAATCAAGACCTGAAAGGAACAAACTGTTCTCATTTAACTAAACTGCATCCCAGAAAAAAGCTCAAAAATATTTTTATATATATTTAAAAATCCAGTATGCAAACAGATAAAATTTATGTCATTTATTAGATCTAATATTGCCAGGTATGCAAAGATGTAGAAAAATATGACACTTAATGAGAAAAATCTTAGTTAACTGAAACATCCAAAGATAACACAAATAACTAAATTAGCAGAAAATGACATTAAAACAACTATTAAAATTGTATGGCATATACTCAATAAATTGGATAAAACATTTAACAATTAAAACACAGAAGGAAGATTCAAATTGAACTTCTAAAGATGAAAGCTAAAATGTCTGCAATGAAAAAATATTCTGGTAATGAATAACTTCTGATTAGACATTGTATGAAAAAGGATTAATTAACTTGAAGACATAGCAATAGAAAACACAAAACACCATAACACCAAAGTGAAACACAAGTTAAAGAAACATGAGAAAAATGAACAAAATGTTACTGAACTGGCAGACAACTCAAGTAGCATAATATAAAATGTAATTGAAGTCCCTGAAGGAATAAAGAAAGAAATAGATAGAATACCTAAAGATACAATGACTAAGTTTTTTTCCAAATTTCTTAAAACCTGTAAGCCCACAAATCCAAGAAACTCAAGAAAACTCAAACACAAGAAACTATACCAAGGCATACAGTAACCAAATTGCTTTATACCAGTGAAAGAAAATTTTAAAAGCAGCTAGAGAGTAACCCATTGTACACAAATGATCTCTTCTTGAAATAGTGCAAGTTAGAAGAGAGAAACATCATTTGAGTACTGAAAACAACAGCAACAACAACCAAAAAAAAGAAATGAAGAAGAAAGAAAATCGTCAATCCCATCAACATAAAATTCTTTATCAATTAAAAAAATCTATTAAAAATAAAAGCATGTTTCTAAAGAAAAAGCCTTTAAAAACCTGCGGGGGAAAAAAAAGGATTTTGAAGACATTCAAAATGTAAAAGAATTAACCACCAACAGATATACAATATGAAGAATTATAAAGACAGTTATTTGAGCACAAGGAAAATAATACAAGATGGGAATTTGGCTATAAACAAAGAAATGGAGACAATCAAAACTGGATATTTTATGGGTATACAAAAGGAATTATTTACGTCTACTTAAGTGTTAACTGTTTAATGGCAAAAAATGAAGTCTTATGAGTCTTATCACTTTTACAGAAATAAAATGTATGACAACAGTGGTACAAAGGCTGGGAAGAAATAAACAGAAGCATACTGTTGTAAAGTTCTTTTACATGATACCTGTATATCACTTAAAAGTAGATAGACTTTGATATGTTAAAGACATATACCATAAACCTTAAAGCAATCAATGGCTGGGAAGGATGTGGAGAAGTTGTATCACTTATACAATACTGGTGGGAGGGTAAATTGGTATAGCCACTCTGGAAAACAGTTGTATATGATTACATACACACAAGTGAGTGTATGCAAATCTGGAGAAATTTAATTAAGGTAGGTGGGTTTTATCAAAGTATATGTTATGGCTATGATATTGTATTATAGGTATACAAGATGTTATTTTTCAGGAAAACTGAGTGAAGCTATGCAACATTTCTTTGTATTATTTCTTACAATTTCATGTGAATATACAATTCTATAGAATTATCTCAAAGTAAAAGGAAACAAAAAAAGGATCAAAAGAGATATAAGTGTATTTCAAAGCAAATGATATTAACAAAAAGAGATGATAAAGGGAGCAATTCATCAACATAATAAACCTAAATTTAGTGTACCTAAAAATAGAGCTTTAAACTACACAAAGCAGAAACTAACAGAAATTTTACAGAGGAGTAGAAAAACCCACAATTAGAGTTGGAGATTTCAATGGCTTTCTTTCAATCGGTAGAACAAGTAGACAGAAAATCAGAGACTTGTGCAACCTTTTTGTAATTGACATTTGTAAAACACTTTGCTAGACAAGAGCAGAACATATTTTTTGAAAGCAGTGATTGGCAAACTTTTTTCTGTCAAGGTTCAGAAATAAAATAATTTAGACTTTGCAGGCCATATGCCCGGTGTCATGACTACCCAAGTTTGTCTTTGAAACAGAGAAGCAGCCATAAACAATACATAAATGAATGAAAGTGGCTATGTCCCAAAAAAAAAAAAAAACACATTGTAAGATAGATAGGGCCATGGGCTGTGGTTAGCCAACTATTTTTTCAATGTGTACGTGAAACATTTAACAGGTTAGATTACCTTATAATTATGATTATATTATTGTAAATATGAATATAATTTATAATATTATTAACATAATTATAATTGTATTATAATATACCCTGAGTATCACAATATAAAACTAAATAAATGGATGAAAATCACACTGAAATCTGATAGTTTCCTTGACCTCTTCAAAGGACTCACAAGCGGGTTGGCTTTTTACTCAGCCCAAAGCTCTCAACCCCTCACGGGAGGGGGAACATGCAGGTGGGCAGGTGCAGAGGCCAGGATGAGCGCTTCTGGGTAACCAACAAGAGCAGAACTCCGTGTGAACCTGCAGCATCATCTAGGGGTTGCCCATGACCCCCAGAGCCTCAGAGGGAATGTGTTACAGTGTCCTCTTTTACTTTCACTGTCTGTGGGTGGCTTAAGTGTTAGACAGCTCAGTGGAGGGTCGTGTGACAGCCCCTTGCACCCACACCCAGGTCATTGTCTGGCATCCAGGAGGAATCAGGTCACACAAATGAATTGAAGGGTGGTGGATGTGGAGGATTCTATTGAGTGGTGGAAGTGGTTCTCATCAGGATGGGGAGCTGGAAAGGGGATGATGTGGGAAGGTGGTCTTCTCCCTTCAGAGAGACAGCTTGACAGTGGGACCTCAGAGAAGAGTTCAGTCATCCCCCGCCAAACTCTTCTCTGAGGACCCACTGTTAAGCGTCAAGCCATCCCTCTGAAGTCAAGCTGCTTTTCTCCAATGTCTGGCTGTTTCTTCTCTTCTCTCCTTCTCTGCTGCTCTGCCACTCTGCCACTTTTGCCAGTGGAGCCTGGGGTTTTTATGGGTACAGGATTGGGAGCAGGGCAGGCCAGAGTGGTTTTGAAAAAGGCAACATTCGGGTGGGAAAACAGGAATGCATGTCTCACTTTGGGCCATGGATTCAGGCTTGAAGGTGAGGTTTTGCTGGGGACAGCCCTATTCTACCCAGTATTTTTCCCTGTCTCCTGTCTGTATTAATACAAAATACATTCTCTAACCAACTACTATGAGATTAAGCTATAAATCACTAAAGGAAGTAATAAGATAAATTTCCAAATACTTGGAAATTAAACCATACATTTCTCAATAATTTATGAGTTAAGGAAAGCATCAGAAAGAAAATTAAAGATATCTTGAATCAAGTGAAAATCAAACATAGCACATATAAATTTGAGAAAGGCAGGTAAAATAGTGATGAAATGGAAATATATAGCTTTAAATTTTTATATCAGAAATGAAGAAAAATCCCAAAACAGTCATTCAGCCAATAGTCAAAAAACTTTTTCTTAAAGATTCAGAGAGTATTATTTTAGGCTTCTAGGCCTTATATTCTCTGTCACAATCACTCAACTCTGAGGCTGCAGTGAGAAAGCAATCACAGACAATATCTAAACAAATGAGTGTGGCTGCATTCCAATAAAAATTTATTTACAAAAACAGGTTCTGACCCATGGGCTGTAGTTTGCAGACTCATGTTTAGGCTTTACCCTTACAAAACCAGGAAAGAAGAACAATCAAAACAAAGAAAGGAGCAATTAATAAAAGATAATGGCAAATATCAATGTAATTCTTAACAGGAAAACAATAGAGAGAATGAATGAAATCAAGTGTTTCTTTGAACAGATCAATAAAATTGATAAATTTCTAGCCATATAGTTTAAATGATAAAACAGAGGGCAAATAAATTACCAACATGAGGAATGAAAGATGAGACATGATTAAAGAACCTATGGGTATTACAATGAGAAGGAAATATTACAAATAATTTATGTTAAGAAATGTAATAATTTAGATAGAATGGAAAAATTATTTGGAAGACCCAAATTGCCACAATCTTACTGTCTATCTATCACAATCTTACCACAAAGAAAACTGAAAGACCTGATAGCTCCACTTATGTATTCTACCAAACATTTAAGGAGTAAATGTTACAAATTTTATATGAAAGATTTCATAATTTTCCAGATCATTTCTCAATTCATTTTATGGGGCTAGAATTGCCATCATGTCAAAACCATGCAAGCAAAACAAACTATAATATTTCTCATGTACACAGATGAAATGTTCCTAACAAAATTTTAGGAAATTAAATGAAGTAATATATTAAAATATAAACAAGTGAAATTTATTTATGGAATGCAAGGTTGGTTTAACATTCAAAGTAATCAGTCTAGTTCACCATATTAACAAATTTATAAAGTCATATGATCAACATTCATAGATGTATAAAAGCATTTGAAGCAATTTGATATCTTTTTGTGTTTAGAAAAATAATCTCTTGGAAAACCGTATCAAAAGTGAACATCTTCAGCCTGGAAACATTTACATGTGATAAAAAACTATAATTGATCTCATATTTTAATGGTAAATAGAGAATACATGTCTCCTAAAATAAGAATTAGGGCAAAATAATGATTCTTCCCTCATCTATCTATTTTGTAATGAAAATACTAGCTTGTGTGATAGGGTAAGAAATAGAAATAAAATACATAATGTAGGAATGAAGAAGTAAGACACTTTTTAGTCACAGATGACATGATTATCTTTCTAAACTCCTAATTAAAAATTGTTACTACAAAAACAATCCTTCTAGATCCAATAGGTGTGTTGAGCAAGTTTACAGGATATATTTTTAATATACAAAAATCAATTTCATATATAAATATTATCAGCAAACAATCAGAAAATTACTTACATGTCCATATAAAATGTAAAATATTTAGAATTAAATTTTAAAAAATTTTCAAGTCCTCTACATTGAAAAATATAAAACATTGCTGAGATAAATTAACAAACATTCCCCCAAATACAAAGTTATACTATGCTTATGAATCAGAAGATTAAATATTCTTAAGATATTTGTTCTCTGTAGATTCAGTCAACTTCTTGCCAAAATCTCAAAATGTTTTGAGGTGGAAACTAAAAAGCCAATTTTATAATTTATCTGAAAACGTAAAGGATCTAGAATATTCAAAACAAATTTGAAAAAATGGAGAAATGAGGGAGGACTTACACTACCTAACTTCAATATTTACTATAAAGCAGTAAGCATTAAAGTGTGATATTGCTGCAAATAATGACACGCAGATCATTAGAAATAATAAAATTTAGAAATAGACACACATATCTGTAGTCAATTGACCTTAAGTAGAGAAGAATGGTAAATTAATAAAGAGATGATAATTTATATAAAACATCTAACACAATGTTTGTCACATAAGTGATAGGTGCTGTTTTTATTATAATTCTAATTGTAATTAATATTTTTATAGTGTTCATAGTTTGAGCTTTTGAACCAAAATGCTTGTGTTTGAATTCTGAATCCACTGCTCGTTGGCTATGAGACCTTACCTCAGTTTTCTTCTGTTCAATGAGAGTAACAATAGTAGTAAATATTGCATAAAGTTGTCTTTAAGATTAAATACATTAATACACATAAAGTACATAGTATCTATGAGTATCTTTTTTTGATAGAAATGCTTGCTTGATACCACCAGTTTATATAAAGGCTGAAAAAAAACCAGAACACATTTCTCATGGATTAGGTAAAATACATACTCATAAAGTAAGAGATGCCATTATATTTTAAGACTGCATAAAACTTTGTTAGAATCAATGATTTTTAAAAAGAAAATCTTTGAAAACATGACATAGTTGGAAAAAATTTTTTAAAATAATAAATTCAAAAAATATATAAACATAGAATGCCTTTCAAATTATTTTTATCTAGTTTTTCATGCATAGCTGGACCTGACCGTACTAATTAAAATACATCTCAGTTTCTTCTTATAACTAAGCTACTCACAATTCATCTATAACCTAGAATAACTGAAACAGATTATTTACATAAATAAAATTATTCTTCTCAACTTTACAAGCCACCAATTAATTATTGCTGGAGGCAAGATCATTGCTCATCTCTATCTGAAGAAATAAACATTATTTATGTCTGTTTAAGAAATCATATTGTGAGAAGGAGGTGAAGTAGATGTATATAGTATTGCCTATCAATGATAATAAACACGGAACTGGAACGCAATTAATTTTTATTGAAGTAAACCATCTCATTTTCTTTTAAGACAAAGCTAGTGGCTTTGATTTGTGACCAAAGATAATATCAAGGGTCTTAAATCACAAAATATGTCATTACATACCTTGAGTAAATGTGCAAATGTGTGTATTCATTTTTCTTCATAGCTTCTACATTTTGAATACGGTATCAGTAATTCATACTTATCTAAAGTTCATGTGTTATTTCTACATTTGGTAAGGATTATTTTTCTGTTTTGTTTTGCAATATATTTTTTAACATTTAAAATTATTTTTAACAGTTGATATAATATTATGATTTATTACTTCATGATTAAGAAGGACAAATCCTTTCTTTGAACAAGGGTCTCCCAAGTAGGTGGAATATTCTGCAAACACCATCTCTTCTGTCATAATAAAGAGCTTGGAACCAATAGCCACTGAATAAAGCTATTCAAAATCCTTGATCACAGATTATTTATTTATTAATTCATTTATTTAAAAAATACTTGTTGATTGCTTACTATGGCAGAAACTCTTCTAGGTTCTGGGAAAAGAGCAATGAACAAAAAAATCAGAAATTTTTATCCTCATGGGGCTTCTTTCTACTTGAGGAGATATCTATTTTTTTAAATACAATAAATACTGTGATATGTTAGAGAGTGATAAGTGCTAAGGTGAAAAAAATAGAAAAACATGGGGGTGGCTGACAGCAACAGTAGTGTGAGAGAGAGATGACATTCTTAAGTCACTTTACAGTTCTAGACAGCAATGAGGGGCAGCAGGTGGCAGGACACAATAGAGACTGTAAGCTCATGTGAAATAACTTGGGGAGCTTCCAAGATATCCTTGTCTCAGAATGAGAATTTCCTAAAAGTTCTTTTAGAAAATTGTTACATTAAGTTCTCCAATGTTATTGTAAACTACGCAATCTCATTAAATTTAATTTTCCTAGCCAAAAACAGAGCTAATATAATCAATTTGATAACCTTTGAAGAATGAGTAAGAATACCCTAAAAACACCTGATATAATAGTTGGACTTAACAGACAACCATTAAGTGAAAACTGACACTATTTGGATCCCATAGTGAATATTTTATAATTTATTATATTTTAGATACAATTAGTTTTACATCCATGAGACATCTATAACCTCTCTTATAGTTTGATTTCAAAAGTGACAAGTTTGAATATATACCCAATATTTGGTATTAGCTAGATCTACTTATTTGCAGAGAGAATGCATTTGATACATCAACTGCTCACCAATGGCCTTCAGAGTCTCCTGGAAAGTTGTAAACAAAAGTAATGGATACAGCCCGTATTTCTCTAGGTTTACCTGCCTGCTGGTTCAAGTCAAACGTTATGAATTATAAAATTAAATTAATGTTATAAGTGTTATACATGTTATATGTGCATGTATGTGTTAATGTGGCATTATTTATGCCTAAATTACATGCATATAATCATACTCTAATACCACAAAAAAACTCTCCTGATTCTGAGACAAGGATATCTTGGGAGCTCCCCAAGGTATTTCACATGAGCTTACAAACAGTCCCTATTGTGTCCTGCCACCTGCTGCCCCTCATTGCTGTCTAGAACTGTAAAGTGACTTAAGAATGTCATCTCTCTCTCACACTACTGTTGCTGTCAGCCACCCCCATAAGAATGGGTATCCCAGAACAAAAATGGCTACACCAGCTTTCTTGTGTTGAGTGTTTACTTAATTTCCTTTTCCCAAACTTTCACTCTTTACTTTTATCAGTTTTTATATTTTAGGTGTGTTTTATTAAAAAGCAAGTAATTGAGTTTTTTACACAGTGTCTAAATATATGTTGCTATATTTACATTTACTTCTACCACCTTATTCTTGCTTCCTATTTGTGGGTATTTTCCATTTTTTTTTCCTCTGCTTCATGTCTTATTTTGTGCTAACATAATTTCTTTTTCTAATTCTATTTTAATCTTCTTCTGTTTTCGAAAAATAACTATTTGTATTTGGTAAGCCTTGAAATTATTATGCACATACCTAATTTAATGGTTTAATTTTCTAAAGTTTTTACCCTCCTTCTATACAGTTTAAGGACCCCAAGTTTTGTTTTTGTTTTTTTGTTTGTTTTTTTTCCTGAGACGGAGTCTGGCTCTATCGCCCAGGCTGGAGTGCAGCGGCCTGATCTCGGCTCACTGTAAGCTCCGCCTCCCAGGTTCACGCCATTTTCCTGCCTCAGCCTCCCAAGTAGCTGGGACTATAGGCGCCCACCACCAGGCCCAGCTAATTTTTTGTATTTTTAGTAGAGACGGGGTTTCACCGTGTTGGGCAGGATGGTCTCGATCTCCTGACCTCGTGATTCGCCCACCTCGGCCTCTCAAGATGTTTAACCTCTCCTAGCTTATATGCTATTATTATCCTATGTTTTAATTGTGACATTTTCAAAGTGTCTTCAATTTAGAAATTATTCATGATACTACTTTTGCTATGTAGTCAATATATTAGATTTTCCCATATCTTACTTTTTTAGCTCACCATTTTTTAGTGTTTTCCTTTCGTAACTTCTTGTGGTGTTTGGGGATCCCTTTCTGAGAGGTTTTATATTTGCTTTGGCAAGATTCACAAGGCAATTACAGATGTAATTACCGTTAAAATTTTGTAGGTACAGACTTTTAGAAAACATGTATAGTGTAACTCAGGCCCACAGACATATAAGCATTTTTATTTATTGCATTTTAATCTCCAACGGAGCCAGAATTCAGACAAACAATTTTCCTTTATTGTTGGCTTAATAGGTTAGTGCCAGCTCATCATTTTCTCAGTTTCAGTTTTAGGTGGATGATTTCTAAACTGACTCTCTTCCCAGTATAGACTTAAGACTCAGTCAACAATCTCCACCTCTCCATTAGCTACAAAAATCCTTCTGGAGTAGGCATGGTCAGTGATGTGGTCCCACTTTTTTCCTGGCCTTACTGAAATGTCTTTTTACAGGAGCAGCCATTAATTGATTAAAATTTCATACATTTTCTCTAGAATTTTTTGTGTCTGTGGCCAGAGGAGTGGAGGATCGTTAATCAGCCCTTTACAAAATCTGTGAAATACAGACATACCTCATTTTATTGCTCTTTGCTTTGTTGCATTTCAAAGATATTGGGTTTTTCACAAGTTAAATGTTTCTGGCAACCCTGCATTAAGAAAATCTATGTATACTGTTTTCAAACAGCATGTGCTCATTTCATGTCTCTGTGTCACATTTTGGTAATTCTCCCAATATTTCAAACTTTTTCATCATTATTCTATTATGATGATCTATTTCACCAATATTTGATGTTACCGTTGTGTTTCATGAACTGCACCCATAAAAGATGACAAACTTAATCCATAAATGTTGTGTGTTCTGACTGCTCCACCAACAGGCTGTTTCCCATCTGCCTTTCTCTCCTTAGGCCTCCCCATTCCCTGAGACACAACAATATTAAAATTAGGCCAATTACTAATCCTGCAATAGCCTCTAAGTGTTCCCAAGAAACAGAGACTCACATATCTTTCACTTTAAATCAAAACCTAGAAATGATTGAGCTCAGTAAGAAAGGCATACCAAAGCTGACACAGGCTGAAACTAGGCCACTTGCACTAAACAGCAAGCCAAATTGTGAATACAGAGGAAAAATTCTTTAAGAAAATTTAAAGTGCTACTCCAGTGGACACACAAATGATAAAACAAAACAGCATTATTGCTGATATGGAGAAGGTTTGAGTGGTTTGATAGAAGATCAAATCAGCCACAGCATTCTTTAAGCTAAAGCCTAATCCAGAGCAAGGGTCTGTCTTCAATTCTGTGAAGACTGAGAAGGGTGAGGAATCTAGAAAAGAAAATCTGGGGGCTGGGCATGGTGGCTTATGTCTGTAAACCCAGCACTTTGGGAGCCTGAGGCGGATGGATCACCTGAGATCAGGAGTTCGAGACCAGCCTGGCCAATATGGTGAAAACCTGTCTCAACTAAAAATACAAAATTAGTCAGGCGTAGTGGTGCACACCTGTAATCCCAGCTACTTGGGAGGCTGAGGCAAGAGAATCACTTGAACCTGGGATGTGAAAGTTGCAGCGAGTCGAGATCGCGTCATTGCACTCCAACCTGGGCGAAAAGAGCGAAACTCTGTCTCAAAAAAAAAAAAAGAAAAGCTGGAAGCTAGCAGAGTTTGGCTTGTGAGGTTTAAGGAAAAAATCCATCTTCATAACAAAAGAATGCAAGGTGAAACAGCAAGTGTTGATGGAGAAGCTGCTGCAAGTTAACCAGAAGACCTAGTTAAGATAATTGGTGAAGGTGACTACACTAAACAACAGATATTTAATGTAGACAAACATTGGAAGAAGATGCCATATAGAACTTCCATAGCTAGACAAAAGTCGATGGCTGGCATCAAAGCTTCAAAAGACAGGCTGACTCTCTTGTTAGGGGCTAATACAAGCTGGTGACTTCAAGTGGAAGCCAATGCTCATTTACCATTCTGAAAATGCTAGGGCCCTTCAGAATTCTGCTAAATTTACTCTGTCTGTGCTTTATAAATGGAACAACAAAGCTGGATGACAGCATATCTGTTTACAGCATGGTTTACTGAATATTTTGCACCCACTGTTGAAACCTACTTTCCAGAAAAAAGATTCCCTTCAAAATATTACTGCTCATTGGCCAGAGCACCTGGTCACCCAAGAGCTCTGATGGAGATGTACGCAGAGATTCATGTTGTTTTCATACCTGCTAACACTATATCCATTCTTCAGTGTGTGGATTAAACAGTAATATTGGCTTTTAACTCTTATTATTTAAGAAATACATTTCATGAGGCTACAGCTGCCATAGATAGTGATTCCAATGATGAATCTGAGTGAAGTAAACTGAAAGCATTCTGAAAAAGGTTCACCATTCTTGAGGCCATTAAGAACACTTGTGACTCATGAGAGGAGGTCAAAATATCAACATTAACAGGAGTTTGGATGAAGGGGATTCCAAACCCCATGGATGATTTTGAGAGATTCAATACTTTAGTGAAAGAAGTAATAGCAGATGTGGTGGAAATAGCAAGATAACTTGAATTAAAATTGGAGCTTGAAGATGTGACTGAATTGCTGCAATCTCATGATAAAACTTGGACGGATGAGGAGTTGTTCTTAGAGATGAGTGAAGAAGGTGGTTTCTTGAGATGGAATCTACTCCTGGTGAAGATGCTGTGAATGTTGTTGAAATAATAGCAAAGGACTTAAATATCACATACCCTTAGCAGATAAATCAGCAGCAGGGTTTCAGAGGATTGACTCCAATTTTGAAATAAGTTCTACTGTGGCTAAAATGCTATCAAACAGCATTGTGTGCTACAGAGAAATCTTTCATGAAAGGCAGACCAAATCATTGCAACAAACTTCATTGTTGTCTTATTTTAAGAAACTGCCACAGCCACCCCAACCCTCAGCAACCGCTACCCTAATCAGTCAACATCAAAGCAGTACTCTCCATGGGCAAAAAGATAAGGATTAACTGAAGGCTCAGATAGTTAGCATTTTTAGTAATGAACCACTTTTAGACATAGTGCTATTTTCTATAGACTACAGTACGTTGTAAACTTAACTTTAATATGCACTGAGAAACAACAAAAACAAAAAATGTGCCACTGGCTTTATTGTGATACTTACTCTATTGTGGTAGTCAGAACCAAACTCACAATATGTGCAAGGTATTCCTGTATTTAACTATTCATCTCCTTTCCAAGCTTCATGGGATTTCTTCAGTTGTTCCGTAAGTTCCTTTCCTTATCCCTAAAAGTTCTGCTGTCAAGGGGGCTTTATTATAAAAGAATTCAGACACAAGATTATCTGCTTCCAGGATGAAAAAAAAAATAAAACAAGACACAAAGATTATTTACTGGGGCATTTCTCTCACTTCCCTGAGACTAAATATTCTCCAGGCTTGGGAAGAGAATTTAAAGTGAGAAGCAGTTTGTAAACATTGGTTGGTTATGCAATAAGAGTTACAACCTGCCTTCCCTGTTCACTTCAGTGGGAAGGAAATAATGAAATAAACTTCTTAAAATGTATCAGGATACAAGTTTAGAAGAAACAAGTCTCCTTTCTCACAGAAAATCTTGAGAAGGAGAAAGCTTGAGGGAATCCCCTTTACCTCACAGTAGAGAAACGTTAGGAGAGAAATGGATGTTCAGGTGCTGAGGGCCTGAACAAGCCATGAAAGGCAGCCTTGAAGCCAAATCTAACATTTCCTGCCTTCGAGAAGGTCATTAAATACAACTGAAAGAGAAAAAGACTCTGAAAGAGTTCTGAGTCTTTGACAAGGGGGCATGGCAGCAGAAGGCACTCTAGACCATATGGTCAGAGACCAGGGAGGAAGATTGACACCTCAGAGGATGCCATTGCAGAGGGATGACAATGCAAGGGTCCAGATTTATACACCCCAGTGGATGCCAGCATGGAACAACTGTGGACCATATGCCTTTATTTAACTAACTTGCACCATAATGCCACATACTTCCCCCTGCCCACCCCAAAGGCATACACAAACATCACCACCACTATTGCTTAGATAAATCCAATGGAGAAGGAAAGATATTAGAATGATTGCAATTTTGCATTGACTGTGTTCCAATTAGAAATCACTATTTATTTAGAATTTACTAAGTTGTTTGCTGCCATCATTTCAAATGCCAGCAAAAAACAGAGTAGATACTGAATTAGGAAAAAAATAATTACTTGTATATTTGTGTTTATGGTCAGGAAACCAACTCTACTACATGGCTTTTGTAATACAGAGCCATGTTGCATCTCAACTCCATAAGTTATTGGGGATTGCAGGATTCTTGTGTCATTCACGCTATACTCAAATGCCATCTTCTCAGAGAGTCTGTGGTTTATGTATATAATATAGCTTCCCTGTCACTACCTATCACTTCTCTGCTAATTTTTTTTTCTCCATAGCGCTTACTATTACCTGACACTGTAAATTTATTTGCTTATGGATTGTCAGTCTCCCTCTGCAGAAATAAACTCCCAGAGGACATGGACCTTGTGTTGTTGACTGTGATTTTCCTAGAGCTTAGAAAACTCCCTGGTACAGAAAATACCTAGAATAAATATACATAGGGTGAATTAAACATTATATGTGTGTGTATATATATATATATATAATGTATTTACATATATTTACTTAGTGTATATAAATTTATATAAAATACATATTATATAGCATATCGTATGTATTTTGATAGTATATATGTTAGGTAGATGTGATTTTTCTTTTCTTTTCTTTTCCTTTTCCAATAATTCCTGAAGAAGTTATAGGTTATTTCTCAGCAATCACAAAGTAAGGAATTTACTGAATTATGACATTTTGCGGGAGAGGCTGATCCTTGTTTTTGGACTTAAAGGCATAGACGTGAAGAAAGGTCTCAAAGAGGTGACCTTAGAAGTGATATTTTCTGTTTTATAATTTTACCTAATATTACCCCTACATACAAGTCTATCTATCTGAAGTGGGTTTTTTATTGTTTAATACACCTTTGTTTTCATAGAATAGAAGAAAGGAAGACAGTCTCATATTGTTTTGTAGGTTCAATTCACACTGGAATTTTTTTATCACAGGAAGATATCTGAGTTAATTATAATGTTTGCATTATGCCACATTATCATCCCCGGTGCACACAAAGTCCTCCTGTTCTATCTATCTATCTATCTATCTACCTATCTATCTATCTATCTACCTATCTACTTATCCCTCTCTGCACTCTCATTTCACACTCTCAACCTAGGCAATAATTCTGAAGTGTTTAATGTATATGGCTTTTTTCTTTGCCTTCCTAAAACATCTGCATTAATATATTGAAGGGATGCATTTAAATTAACTATGTGTCCCACATAAAAATGTTTCACTTCTTTTCATTCAGCTATATGTTATTAAGACCAGGAGTGTTGTTATGTTCACATCTTTGCCACTTCCAAATACTGTATGCTATTCCTTTTATTTTGTTTTTTATAACTACCATATCTTGCCTATCTACTATCCGTAAATATATATTTATATATTTAAAGCAAATTACAAAACTACAGAAGGGTCTACTTAAATACCTAGTGCATCTTTGTGAAATAAAATGCATCATTAAGGAAATCTCAATTCTGTTTTTTAAGTTTTTTCTTCAGCTGAATTTGGTTTAAGTTACTTTTCAACCAACTCAGATACTTAGTGTTCTATTTTAAATTAGAAGGGTAAGTAATTTATTTTTCATATTAGCAAGAAAAATTCTTACACTCATGTGTTTATGTGTATGTGCACTCAAGTCTCTTTTTAAAAGGACAAAAGGATCCAGAGAGGCTTTTTCCTGCTGTGAAGGACAAAAACTCAAGATAGTGTACTCTGACACAAAGTGCATTTCTTTGCCAGTCTCTAAAATGTCACTTCATGGGCAGCCTGCTGGGCTCGGCTCAGAGCCATGGTGCCTAGTTTGCTAATAAAAAAGAATAAAGGTTAATGAAGGCATTGGATTATTTATGATCTTGAATAAAATAGCCTAGGTTTCATCTGGATGGTTTGTTCAAGGCATAAGATCTTGCCTTTGATTTTTAACATTGTATTATTCTTTTCTGCAGACTTTGGATTTCAATGCTTTTTGCCAGGATACAGTCTTATCACATTTGTTATATATGCAATTATATTACAAAAATAAATGGATATATCAGAGATATTTAAATGTGATGACTGAGATACATGAAAAATAAAATAATAAATCCTTCAGAAAACCACTTTGTAATTTAGAAAGGAATAATCTTGTACATTAAGCACATCTTTTGTTGCTCATCAGCAACTTATTTAGAGAAAATAAATGCCAACATTTAATTGTGGCATAATGACATACAGGAAAATATTGTTTATAAAGAACATATCAGGCTTAAGTCACACACTTCAGATTTAGGTTTAGGAATTTCAGTTTCATTTAAAAGAAGACAAAGTGTGCAATCAAACTAGTCTTCTTGTCAAGTGACGGAATGTGACATGCCAGAAGTATGTCATGCTCCATAGTCAGGATCTCATCATAGAGTTTTGAAGTCAGCTGAAAGTGAGTGTATATGCTATGAGGCCCACTACTGGTAAATACAAGAATACCAAACGTGTAAGGTATATAAAGTTGTTTAGTTCTATGCTCCAATCCAGAATCAGAATTGTCTACATTTATAATATACACAATTTGAAACATTATATTTGCTGTAATAAAGTCTGTAGCTGTGGATAATCATCTCTAACACCTTCAATTTGCTCTGAAGTGCTAAACATGAAGCCATCTTTCAAATGACCACTAACCATTTCCCAACCCATTGTGCAATATTAAAAAAATAAACAAATCCTGATTAAAATTAACCTGACATTTTTCTTAATTTTCCAGTTTCTTAATTTTTAGGCCTTGGATGTGTGAGTCTCTATTAATTTTTATGTTTGACCTTTTCTTCTGGTTTGTAGGTCAATTTATATTGTAATGACACAATCTATTGTACTATTTTTTTCTTGACTGAAACAAACAGTATTTAATTATCTCTTTAAAAAATTCTACTCACTAAAATTACACACATCATACATTTGAAAAGTATTTTTTGGTGTGGCTAATATGTGCCAGACATTGTTTCAATATTGAGGCTATAGCCATACAAAATTATTTTAGAGCTTGTGTTATAAGTTATCAGGAAAATACTAAAGATTGTTAGTAAACCTAACTTTCCAAAACTGCATAGACAATCTACAGAACATCATATGTTTATCTATGAGGTAAAATCCCATGACCAAATATGTGTTTTTAGCTTTTAGGTAAGATAAACTCAATTTATGATCATTGGTGAAGAAAAATATTTCGTACCCTATTGGAGCAGGTCAAAGAATGTGGTTAATGTAGTTTGGATATTTGTCCCTACCAAAACCTCATGTTGAATTGTAATCCTCAATGCTGGAGGTGGGACCTGGTGGGAGTTGTTTGGATGATAGGTCTGAATTCCTCATTGCTTGGTGCTTTCTTCATGATAGTAAGTTCTTGCAAGATCTGGTTGTTTAAAAGAGTGTGACACCTCCCTCCCCAACTCTCTCTCTCTCTTGCTTTCGTTCTGCCACATGACATGCCTGCTTCCCCTTTGCCTTTTGCCATGAGTAAAAGCTCCCTGAGGCCTCCCCAGAATGGAACAGAAGCCTGTGCCATGCTTCCTGCACAGCCTGCAGAACCACAAGCCAATTATATCTCTCTTCTTTATAAATTATCCAGTCTCAGGCATTTCTTTACAGCAATGCGAGAGCAGCCTAATACAATGGTGATCATTAATCTTTAGAGTTTTCACTGTACTCAATTTCTCTCTGCAATATGTGAAATGGTGGCTTCTCCTCCAACCTAAGTCCTGAAATGAGGACTACTTGAAGCAAACCTCCCAGCTGACCCATGATGGATATACAACCTGAGTGAGATATAAAACTTCATTAACTTTAAGTCAGTTTAGTGAGCAATAATTAACACACAGTAAAACTCACCCGTTTTAGATAGATAATTTGATGAGTTTTAACAAACGTCATGGTGGCCACAATTGAGATGAAGAACATTTCTACTACCTCAACCACTAAAGTAATAAAAAATAGCCACAACAACCAGATTTTCTTTTTGAAAATTGGTTATTTTTCTTTTTAATTGGTAGTACCTAGTTTCTGAAAAAATCAGAAGCAAGCTTCGTAAATATTACTTGCAGCAAAATACACTGGTGCAAAATTTCTGAACCCAACTTTGAAATTATGTCTCAAGAACCTTAAACTTTTATAAATGTTATACAATTTTAAATAATCAATATTTTTACATATGTAATTATGTGGCCTAACAGATCAAAATCAGAAACAACCATATCAACTGAGTAATTGTCTTGCACCCCATAATGTACTACAGTATAGCCACTATGGCTATAAAAGCATCTAACAACATGAGAAAATGTTCCAGATTATTTTTATATGGGGAGAAAATGTAAATTAAAATGCAGTAGATACAGCAGAACCTAATTATGCAAAATATATATTAACATAGGATTTTATATACCAAATGCTTAGAATTATTGGCCTGTTTCAAAAGATTGTCATGTATGGCATGTGAAATATTGCTAGCATTCAGATACACGATCAGACACAGTCCAGTTAAGGTTCAGAGAATGAAGTTTCCTAATCCTCATTTGAACGATTTACTAAAAACATAATCCTGCCTTTTCCACATCTAATTTTGTGACCTTGGTCAGATTAATCCTTCTAAGCTTTAGCTTCCACATTTTAAAATGTTATTTAAATAACAATAGAAGCAGTAGTGGTAACAATAGCACTAATAGTAATGAAGGTTATATTTATCTCATAAGGTTATTTTGGTCCTGAAAAATTACACAAAATGGCATAGTGTCTTGCACTTTGTGGATGCTCGATAAAAATTAGCTGCTTTTCTGAAAAGAGATAAGATGTAGAACTTTTCACAGTATTCTATTGCTTGGATTAACAAATTTTCATTGGCCCATAGTCTCCCAAGAGAAGAGTATATATCTTTCCTAAAGAAATGTTCTGTAGATAACCTAATAGAACAATGTGTGGTGTTTCAGTACTGAGTTATGAGGAACAGTGGGCATAGAAAAAGAAGGCAGAGCTCTTTGTAAGATTGGGTCTTTACACATACCCAGAAAAAAAAAGTCAACTTAGATAACAAGATTTCAATTAAAATTAACCTTTATATTTTGTTCTATATCTTATTTTATAGGTATTTTTCTACTTATTTTGAAAGATGAAAATCCAACATACAGTTTTATATGTCCAAGACACACAATCACCGTGACTAATTCAGACGCTGCTGCTATCAGAAAATGTGATGAGTTGCAGAATTCAGTATTGAATTGCATCTACCAGTGCCTCAAAATCAGCATTGCATGCAGAGGAGCCCATTACAATGTTAAATTGGTCTCATACCTAGATGAGCAATTATTTGCCTATTTTCACAATAACGTATCTGCTGCATTAGCCTCTTTGTTAATATAAGTGCAACACATGTACTGAATGCTTGAATCCTAATAAATAAATGAGTGAATAAAATTCTCTCATTTTTCATACAAAAGGCTAGAAATGAAAGCCAAAAGGAAACCATCTAAAAAGTCTATGAAAGCCAAGAATAAACCATCACAGAATCCTATAATAAAATTTTTTCTAATTGAGTCAGTGGTGTCTGGTTCACTCATTCCTTCAAGAAATATTTACTAAGCATCTATATGCCAAATGGTATAGGCTCCAGGAATAATGCAGATAATTTTGCAGATTATTTCTGTTTTCATGAAGCTTTAATAGTTTCAGGGAAATTGGAGAGCTGGTAAGGTATGCTTGAGACAGGAAAATAAGAAAAGAAGAAAATTTCAAATACGACAAGTACTTTAAGGATAATTAAAGAAAATTAAAATTGTATGCGTATGCATTTCTACATGACATTTTGTGTCTGGAATTGGTGGGTTCTTGGTCTCACTGACTTCAAGAATGAAGCCGCGGACCCTTCGCGGTGAGTGTTACAGTTCTTGAAGGCGGCGTGTCAGGAGTTTGCTCCTTCTGATGTTCAGATGTGTTCGGAGTTTCTTCCTTCTGGTGGGTTCGTGGTCTCGCTGGCTCAGGAGTGAAGCTGCAGACCTTTGCGGTGAGTGTTACAGCTCTTAAGGTGGCGCGCCTGGAGTTGTTCGTTCCTCCTGGTGGGCTCGTGATCTAGCTTGCTTCAGGAGTGAAGCTGCAGACCTTTGCGGTCAGTGTTACAGCTCATAAAGGCAGTGTGAACCCAAAGAGTGAGCAGCAGCAAGATTTATTGCAAAGAGCTAAAAAACAAAGCTTCCACAGTGTGGAAGCAGACCCTAGCGGGTTGCCACTGCTAGCTCCGCAGCCTGCTTTTATTCTCTTATCTGGCCCCACCCACATCCTGCTGATTGGTAGAGCCAGGTGGTCTGTTTTGACAGGGCGCTGATTGGTGCATTTACAATCCCTGAGCTAGACACAAAGGTTCTCCACCTCCCCACCAGATTAGCTAGATACAGAGTATCCACACAAAGGTTCTCCAAGTCCCCACCTGAGTAGCTAGATACAGAGTGTCCGTTGGTGCATTCACAAACCCTGAGCTAGACACAGGGTGCTGATTGGTGTGTTTACAAACTTTGAGCTAGATACAGAGTGTCGATTGGTGTATTTACAATCCCTGAGCTAGACATAAAGGTTCTCCACCTCCCCACCAGACTCAGGAGCCCAGCTGGCTTCACCCAGTGGATCCCGCACTGGGGCTGCAGGTGGAGCTGCCTGCCAGTCCCGCGCCATGCGCTCGTACTCCTCAGCCCTTGGGTGGGCAATGGGACCGGGCGCCGTGGAGCAGGGGGCGGCGCTCATGCAGGAGGCTTGGGCCGTACAGGAGCCCACTGCGGGGGCCGGGGGAAGGCTCAGGCATGGCGGGCTGCAGGTCCCGAGCCCTGCCCCACGGGAAGGCAGCTAAGGCCCGGCAAGAAATCGAGCGCAGCGCCAGTGGGCTGGCACTGCTGGGGGACCCAGTACACCCTCCGCAGCCACTGGCCTGGGTGCTAAGCCCCTCATTGCCCGGGGCGGCGGGGCCGGCAGGGCCGGCCGGCTGCTCCGAGTGCAGGGCCCGCCAAGCCCACGCCCACCCGGAACTCCAGCTGGCCCGCAAGCGCCGCGCAGCCCCGGTTCCTGCTCGCGCCTCTCCCTCCACACCTCCCTGCAAGCTGAGGGAGCCAGCTCCGGCCTTGGCCAGCTCCCACAGTGCAGCGGTGGGCTGAAGGGCCCCTCAGGTGCCGCCAAAGTGGGAGCCCAGGCAGAAGAGGCGCCGAGAGCGAGCGAGGGCTGTGAGGACTGCTAGCACGCTGTCACCTCTCAATTTGAGCAGAGGTACTCACAGTCTTTGTTTTAGACCACCTTTTCATGAATGTGTGTGTGGAAAACAGCATTAGAAGATAGAGATACTGTCTTCCTCCAGTGCAAAGGTAGCTTTGTTTACAAAATCTGATGATAAGAATAGTGTCTCTCTCCAGAGCAAAGGGAAAATTGTTTTTTTTTTCACCCCCCATTTGGTATAATATAAATAATGTCATCCTCTGGGTCAAAGATCAGGAATGTTCACTATCTATTATAAAGATTTGGGTTCCAGAAGCTTGAGGTTACTCTTCTGGAGTGCAAACAACTGCATGTGCAAAGTTCTTTTCAATAAGCCCTGGGTGTCGTGACTCAGAGAATCAGCGTAATTGCTGACATTCTGGTTACTGTTAACCCTGGAAGTAATAAGGTCCTTTAAGGCTGATCCAGAAATCTCTTATCTTCTGCCAATATCTATGAAACTTTTGCAGACTAACCTTCTGCAATTGCAATTAAGGTAAAATATCAGAGCCCTCATAGTTCTTGACAAGGCCCTGAGAAGTAGGTGAGTCATGTCTGTTCAAGAAACAGGAATAAAAGGCAAATTTTGAAAAATGGTGAGAGAAGGGAACTACAGACTAGAATAATTCAATCAGGAAGGCAGGATCTAGATCTTACAAAACCTTGCAAGCCATAACAGTAATGTGGTTTTATTTGTGCAATGAGAATCAAAAGGAGGGTTTAAATGGGAAAGTGACATAATCAGATTTATATATAATATGCTTATTAACCATATAGATGAAAACTACTAGACTGAGTCAGATTTGGATTCACGTCTCAGCTCTGTCATGTAACAGTTATATAATCTTAAATAAATTGCAATTTTCTGACCTCCCATTTTCTGCAATATAACAGGAAATCAGCAAATCAAAAGAACAGTGGAATACCACCTTACATCATCAGGATGACCATGATATTTTAAAAAACAGAAAATACAAATATTGCTGATATGGAGAAATTTGAACCCTTGGGCACTCTTGCTGGGGATGCATCCACTGTAGAATATAAATGGTGCTTTTTCAAAAAATTAAACATAGAATTACCATATAATCCTGTCATGCCACCCCTGGATATATACACAAAAGAATTGAAAGCAGAGTCTGGAAGAAATATTTGTACATCTATGTCTATTGCAGCATCATTTCCAGTAGCCAAAGATAGAAGCAGCCCAGTGTCCATCAGTGGATGAATAGATACACAAAATGCACTGTATATAAACAGTAGAATATTAGTCAGCCTTAAAAGGGAAGAAAATTTGACACATGCTACAACATAGATGAACCTTGATGACATTAGGCTATATGAGGTACCTAGAGTATTCAAATACATAGAGACAAAAAGTAGAATGGTAGTTGCTAGGGGCTGGGGGGAAAAGGAGAATGTGGAGTTGCTATTCAATGAGTATACAGTTTCAGTTTTGCGAGATGAAAGTTACGAAGACTGTCTACACAACAATGTGAATGCATTTAACACTACTAAATTGTATACTTCAAAATGGTTAAAGATAATACATTTTAAATTATGCATATTTTGCCACAATTAAAAATAACAGTTAAAAAGTCAACAGTATCTACTACAGTTGTTTTATTTAGCAATCAAGAAAAGTCTTCCTACCATGATTTGGAAACAATATTAATCTCTATGGATAGCAACATAGAAGAAGGAATCTCTCTCCTCAAACAACCAAGAGACTAGCAGATTATATTCCCATGTTAGGAAAAAACAATTAAAACATACATAAAACCTAAAATTATCTACAAATGTAAGATGGAAATAATGTTAGTTTCAAAATAGATTTCAGAACTTCAGTTTTAGGGGTGGTTGCATCACCTTTTAGGGTGGCTTGATCAGTGCTTGTTGTATACCCATTAGTGTATATCCTGTAAGGAGTAAGGACGCCATTCTAAGGGTCTAAAAAGTGAGACTGAGCGATAAGGAGATGTCATGAAGATGTGACTTGACATGTGGGTTGAATTACTAACAATGGCCTGAAGATACATTTTGATATATATTATATGTGAATTATATGTGATATATATATAATATATATTATATGATATATAATGATACATATTATATGTGAATGAAGAATTTTGCCCTTGCTATCTTCAAAGGGTACATTGCTTAAATTCATTTTTGAGCTGGTGTTAATTAGCCATTCTGGATGGAAACATTTGAAAATGCTCAAGCCTTCTTTGGCACTATATGTTAAGCTATATAAGAGAAAAAATGTATTATAATACCAGGAGAGAAATTAGAGATCATTGTTCTGATTAAAGAAGGGGTTGATTTGATATATTATAAAAACTGATTTATTGAGATATAATTGTAATACAATAAACTTCACATTTAAAGTGTGCACCTTGATAAGTTTGACATAATGCATACAACTGAAGAAAAGATCGCCGTAAGCGAAATAGTAAAAATAACCATTACTTCCCAAAGTTTCCTCATTTGCAATTCATCTCTCCCATTCCACTAATCCCTATACTAGTAATCATTGAAACCATTAACCTATTTATTCAACCAATAGTATTAGCTGTTTGTCTCCACCTATACAGGCAACAATTGATCTGCTTTCTGTCATTATAAATTATATTTTCTAGAATTTAATATAAATTAATCATACAACATCTATTATTTTAGTGCCTGGATAGTTTAAGCATAATTATTTTGAAACTGATACATGTATTCCATTTATCAAAAGTTTGTTCTTTTCATTCCTGGGTGGTATTTTATTGTGCGGATATACCACAATTTGTTCATTCCTTCACCTCTCAATGGACATTTTGCTTGTTTTTAGCGTTTGGCTACTACACAAAAAGCTAATATGATGATTCACATCATTCCTGTGTATGCACCCATACTTCATTTCTCTCAAATAAGCATAGAGGAGTGGAATGACTGAGTTGTATAGTAGAGTACATATCATTTGTTTAAGAAAATGACAAACTAGCTGGGCACGGTAGCTCACGCCTGTAATCCCAGCACTTTGGGAGGCCGAGGCTGGAGGATTACCTGAGATCAGGAGTTGGAGACCAGCCTGGCCAACATGGTGAAACCCTGTCTCTACTAAAAATACAAAAATTAGCCGGGCATGGTGGCACACGCCTATCATCCCAGCTACTCAGGAGGCTGAGGCAGGAGAATTGCTTGAGCCTGGGAAGTGGAGGTTGCAGTGAGCCGAGATTGTGCCACTGCACTCCAGCCTGGTCAACAGAGCAAGACTCTGTCTCAAAAAAAAAAAAAAAGAAAATGACAAACTAATTTCCAAAGTGGTTGCATCATTATACATTCCCACCAGCAGTGTATGAGAATTCTACTTGCTCCATTTTCTCACCAACACTTGACATGGCCAGTCTTATGTTTACCCATTCCAGTTGGCATGTAGTTGTATTTCATTACAGTTTTAATTTACATTCCTGTAAAAAAAAAAAGTTGAACATATTTTAATGTACTTATTTGCAATAGTATATTTTCTTTGGTATAGTGTGTATTCAAATATTTTGTTCCTTTTTAGGTTTATGTGCTATTAAGTTTTGAGTGTTGTGTTTGTTTTGCCATCACTTAGGCAGGATTTACACTGACAAAAATTAAGTGCAAGTTAGACACTACAACTGTGATATCTTGACAGCTGGCTTCGGAGAGGAAGGCGTAAAGGAGAGGTTGATGACTACAGTCACCCTGTGTAGCTGATGCATCCAACTAAAATTCAGGGCTTTGCAAAGTTTGTGAAGTTCTAGAGGATTGCATGAGCTCTTAAATTTAGAATCATTCCTTAAACTGTGAGAAACAAGCTACTGTTTCTCACAGACCAAGTCACTATTGGGAAACTCAGAGACAGCTAAGAATTTGGGGTTTTGGTGAAATTATATTTCTCATCCAGGAATCTTGTTGGTCCATAAACAAAATCAGCAGAAACAAATCTGAATTTGGATGGGAGGATGGCTGTTTAGAAAATATGCCTTAAAATATTCCTAAGGATCATAGCACAGGCAATCCAACTTGGCTCTTATTAGTGTACTTGATTGCTCAGATGATGCTAGACATGCTAGAAAGCAAAATATACTCAGACTCGAGTTTTGGGCAGAAACCAAAGAAGGCTAGTCTGGAGAAACTACTAATAAAATGTACCCAGACTGGAGTTTTGGGCAGAAACTCCGCAAAAGGCTACTCTCAGGTGTTGATATACAAATGTCCCTGATACAAATACTCATGATAGCTCATTTAGAGGAAAATTACTAGCTTGTTATGGGGCACTGATCAAAACTACCCCTACCATGGAAGAGCACCATGATTCTTACATCAGAAATATCAATCACACTAAAAAGAAAGATGTCAGAATAAAAGAGAGAAGAAAAGGCCAGTAACATTTGTTAACAAAATGCAAGTGGCATATTCAAAATTATGAGTGAGTGCAGTATTTTTCAGGCTTCAGAGGGAAGACAGCATATACGTGGGTAGGTTGCCTCACTGACTGTAGGGCCCATCATAGAGCCCACCAGGGCTATCCATCTCTATTAGCGTGTGCTTTGAAGCTTATGATTTTCTTCTTGTTGAAGCAAAGAAGTTTGCCTGGCTTGCCAACACAAAGGACAACAATAATAAGAAAAGATGCTTAAATATTGGTAATCAGTAAAATGTTCATTTGTCCCAAAGAAATTTAATGTGGCAGTACCAAGCACAAGCAAGGATTTGTAGAAATTGACCCCTACACGTTCCTTGTGACAGGAGATTTTTAAAAGCACTTTGGAAGAGTATCTTGCATTATCTAAATATAACAATCGCATACTTTAAAATCCAGAATACTCTTGTACATGTTCATCAGGAAACATGGACAAGAAAGCTCATTTGCAAATGAAAAATATGGAAGAATGTATTTAAAAAAACATATTTAGAATAATAGTTATCTCTGTAAAAAGTGAGTGGAGCATGTGATTGTGTAGCACGCACACTGGGTTTCAAGGCTACTGGTAATTTTGTTTTTCTTGAGTGATAAGGTGAGTACATAGGAGAATGTTTTAATTTAGTTAGAAAACTACACAATACACATATACATTATGTGTGTGTATGTGTTGAATACACATACACAAAGGATATTTCAGAAGTTCTAAAAATGGAATGATGTATGCCTATGGTACAGGCTGCATGCTTATTTCAGACAGCTCTCATCTGTTATAAAATCATAAATAGTCTTTATATGTAGCACTCGCTTAGGTAAACGCTTCTGAATGTTGATATAAATCATTTGATGAGACATTTATCTCACTTCAAGAGACTAAATTGAATACCTGGCCTACTTATTGACAGGGATAGACTGTAAAAGGAGATAATCGGGCTACCTCAAATTAGACCCACTTCTGCCTTTCCCTCCAAGGGCTCTAGCCACTAGTGGTTTGTGTGAGTAGCTATGTTTCATATCAGTAACCACTTATCAACTGAGAATTTGAATTTTTATTTAAATGCGGTAAAATGGAATTCTCAACAATGGAAGGTGAAGTGAAAAATTACACAATTGCTAGCTACCTATAATAAAAGTAAAAGGTAAAATAACTGTGTCAAATAAGAGTTGGACTCTGCCTCCACATTTTAGGAACCTATGGTATCAGAAATAATGGCTCTACTTTTTCTCAAATAAACTAAACAAGAAAACAAAATGAGTGGAGGAAAATCTAAATTATATGTTCATATAGCCAAGCAACACCAAACAGAAAAAAACCAAAAACTGAGACAAGCAGGAAAAAATGAGAAGACAAGTGGTAGACTGGCAGTGGCAGAACCCAAAAGAGGAAGTTCCACAAGGAATGGGAAATGATGTGAGCAGGAGTCAGAGTGAAGCGGGAAGATCACTAAGGAGATTAAGAAAAGAAAGCAAGGAAACTCCCTAAGAGGTGTCCGGATTTAGAATGTATCAAGAAATATCACCTTCTGATAAATGCTAAGAAGATAGCAGAAGCATATCTTTGGAGCTCTACTAAAACCTCCACAAATCCTCCAAAAAAAATGGATGGAGCAACCAGGATAGCAGAACAAAACGATGGAAATAATGTGTTGAATAAGACCTGATGAATATGCATCAAGGAGACTGGGGCAAACCACCAGGTCAGCAGTGGTGTGAGAACAAAGGGAAGAAAGAGAAGACGGCTCTGAGCAATGCTAAGTCCTCACCACTCCAAACAAAGCCCCCCCACTGGGAGTAAAGAAATTAACTGGTGGATCTGAGAACAGCAATCCAAACTGGTAGGTGAGTACAAGATTCTCTAGGAAGGACTGACCATGAGGGGTTACCTGGGACTTCACAGCTACTGAAATACTCAACGAAAGGACAGAGACTTGACAACAGAGACAGACGACTTGAAGTAAAATACAAATTGCTTGAGGAATAAAACAGATTTGGGGTAAAAGGAAGGCAAGTTTTCGATACCATTTGAGGAAAACTTGAGAGAAAGCAGGTGGCAGAAATTCTGGTAAAGTGACAGACTACTTTCTCAATATTAGTTGTCACATCTCAGGTTGGGTCCTAGAAGAAAGCTCTGAGACGGGATTTAGCACACTGGATGCTTATGAAGGGGGATCCTTTGGGATCAATACTTGTGAAAGGGAGGGAAGGAAGTGGGGCTGGATACAGGGAGCTATCAAGCTGCAATGTCAGCGCAATAGCCTCAGCTGCCCACACTGGGAGCTCTGCAGCAAGAAAAGCCCTTCAGGAATTGTTCGGAGCTGGGTTTTAATTCCCACCCTCATCCTTTTTTTTTTTTTTTTTTTTTTTTTTTTTTTTTTTTTTTTTTTGAGACGGAGTCTCGCCTTGTCGCCCAGGCTGGAGTGCAGTGGTGCAATCTCGGCTCACTGCAAGCTCCACCTCCTGGGTTCACGCCATTCTCCTGCCTCAGCCTCCCCAGTAGCTGGGACTACAGGCGCCCGTCACCACGCCCAGCTAATTTTTTTTTGTATTTTTAGTAGAGAAGGGGTTTCACCGTGTTAGCCAGGATGGTTTTGATCTCCTGACCTCGTGATCCTCCCGCCTTGGCCTCCCAAAGTGCTGGGATTACAGGCATGAGCCACCATGCTCGGCCTCCCCGTCATCCTAATTGGTTTTAGATCACTCCAGGGAGGGGAGTGAATGTGAGCAAAGTGGTTTTCCGTAGCTGTGCTAATCCCCTAAGAGGCTGGTAGCTCAGAGCTTCCTCCTGGCAGCACCCCTGGCAGCAGTAGCAATAATATTTTCATCACACCCCCAAAGAAGCAGCCCTGGAGCCATAAAATGAGAAATCCTTTTCTGGCTTAAACTTCTAAAATTATAACAAAATTCATCTGATTTAGACATAAAGAATAAAAAAGGATTACATTCAAACCCATAGTAAATACTAGAAGAATAAAAGAGGATAATGAGAATCAAACACCTGTAGGAAATGGAGACACACCGGAAAAATGTGTCATAATGCAGGGAAAACCTATAAACTAGTATTTCTATAGGAGTAAACAGGGATTATGAAAGAAAAATAGGATATCTGGTAGAAAGATTGGAAAAAATGAGAAATAAGGACATGAAAGACAGTTAAAAGAATTTGGGAAATAATTATAAGTTAAGTTTAATAATCAGGGAAAAGATTAGAATTAACACAAGAGTAAAGAGAGATGGCAGAAAATATATTGTTTTGAATAGATGATAAAAAATAAATCAGATATTAAAAGAGAATACAAAGGAGATTTTTCAATACTGAGGTATTGGTAAAATTAGAAAATTAGTATTTTGTGGTATCTAATGAAATAATGGAACTAGACCAGGCATTCTTAAAATATGATCTGACAACTAATGGTCATCCAACTTACTCTATTTTCCAACTGCCTAACTAGATGAGGCCCAATTGTCTTCATGCACTTAAACCAAAACAACATATTGCAACAGGTTGAATGCAGAAACAGATATGAGAATTTAGCTATATTCAAACAGTCAAAATTAAAGAGTTTTATAAAAATATAAAATAATGCTATATTTTGAAAAATATTACTTTTATAAATGTTTATGTTAACAAAATAATTAATATTGAACAAATAAATTTATATTGGAATATAACATACAACAATCTTAAGACCCACATTCTTTTCAAGCAAAAAAGGAATATTCACAAAATTGACTCTATTTTCATCCATAAAGAAAATCTCTACAATTTCCAAAGGATTGATAAAATATAGAATATGTTCTCTGACCACAATGAAATTTAACTAGGCAACTACAACAAACAGCCTCTAGAAAAACTCTATTTGCTAAATAAGAAATGAATGTTATCTAAACCTTAAATAAAAAGAAATAACAACAGATATTATAAAATGTCTTAAACTGAATGATAATAAAAGTGTGTTACACAAAAAACCGGGGACACTTTTAAAATAGTAATAGATGAAAATTTATAGCCTTAAAGTAATGCACTAGGAAATAAGGATGGCTCGAAGTGTAAGGAGCTAAGCGTCCATCTAAAGATGTTAGAAATAAAACAGCAAAGAAAACTTTAATAAAAAAAGGAAAGATAATGTAGATGAAAGCTGAATAATAAACTGAAAAAAATATAAAGAGATGATTAATACATTGAAGTGTTAATTCTTTGAAAAGACTAAAAGCAAACATCTGGCAAAATGATTTTAAAAAGAGGGGAAAGGGGTTAGAAGGCATAAATAACTTGTAACAAATTAAAAAGTAAAAGTACTTTGTCTCTAAAAGCTAGCAGGTATTAAAAAGATAATAAATTATTATGAAAAATTATGTCTGGAAATTTAGACGAAATAGGCAACATTTTAGGAAAGCATAATATTAAAAGATAGACACAAGAAGTAACTAGTAACAGTGACATCAGCAAGATGGCTGACTAGAAGCTCCTTGTGGTCTTCATTCCCATAAAAAGAAATTCCAAAACTACAAAAAAAACTACGCTTTATCCAAAATAACTAAAGGAGCACTGGATAATAGTAAAGAAGCTGCAGAAATCTTGTAGAGCACAGAAACTCAGGATGGTCACACATGGAAGGAAAGGAGACACTTTGCCTCTGCCACCTCATTCCCGTAAGTCAGAATCAGCTTGGAACCAGAAGGGACTTCGCTTTGCAAGGAGAAGGTAAACAAGAGGACCTCACAGCGCCCATTATCATCACAGGCACCTGCATCTTCACTACTGGAGACTCCTGTAGTCCTCGGAGGCTCTGAGCCCAGCTGGGGAAGCTCCCGAGAGTAAATGTGCTGAGCTACCCCTAGAGAAGGAACTGACACTGTGTCCCACCCTCATCCCTGTGGCCCATGCGGCCACCTCTCTGCACCATCTTAGAACCAGAGCCACTGCTAGAGTGCATCCTAATACAGAGATTAGCAGCCAACACATCCCTCCATCTCAGAGGCTAAGCTGCCACTGCACCATGCCCACTGAGTAGTGTTCCATCTCCAAGCAAAGGTAATGCTTGGAGCCTTTGCCCCTTAGAGCCAAGCTACTGCAGATCCCCTACATTCCCCTCAGCCAGTTGCTGTTGCACCCTCTATATAATTATATATATTTATTATATTTATTTATATTATATTTATATATAATATATATATATATATATATAATTGAGAGCTTCAACAGCAGACTAGATGCAACAGAAGAGAGAATCTGTGAACCTGAAGAAGGTCTTTTGAATTGACTTATTCAAAAGAAAAGAAAAAAGAAATAAAAGAAAGAAAAAAAGAATAAAAAATAGTGAAAGCCTACAGGACTTATGAGATACCATTAAGCAAACAAAGTTTCACATTGTGAGAGTTTAAAAGAAGGAAAAGAGATAGAGAAAGAAACAGAAAGCTTATTTAATGAAGTACTTTCTGAAAACTTCTCAAGTCTTGGGAAAGACATGGACATCTATGAAGCTCAAAAGTCCCCAAAATACATTCAATGCAAAGAGATTTTCTCCAACACATATTAAAATCACAACATCAAAAGTCGAAGACAAAGAAAGAAGTTGAAAAGCAGCAAGAGAAAAGCATCAACTCACATATAAGGAAATCCTCATTAAATCATAAGCAGTTTTCTCAGCAGAAACCTTGCAGGTCAGAAAAGAATGAGATGATATATTCAAAGTGCTAGAAAAAAAAACTGCCAATCAAGAATACTATTCCCATCAAAGCTGTGCTTCGGAAGTGAAAAAAAAAAAAGTAGACTTTCTCAGAGAAGCAAAAGCTCAGGTTATTTGTTACCACTAGATCAGCCTTATAAGAAATGCTTAAGAGTTCTTAAAGCAGAAATGAAAGGACAATAATTGTTATCATGTATATATATAAAAGCATAAAACTCACTGTTAGAATTAAATATGTAGTCAAATCCAGAATACTCCAGTACTACAATGATGCTGTGTAAATCATACATACATCTAGTATGAAGTCTAAAGGTCAAAAGAGTAAAAAATCAAGCTACAATAAGTTATTAAGAAACACACACTATAAAAAGATGTAAATTGTGACATAAAAACATAAATTGTGAAGGGAAGGGTAAAAGTCTGGAATTTTTTGTATGTCACAGAAGTTAAGTTGTTATCAGCTTAAAACAGTAGATTACAAGTATGAGATATTTTATGCAAACCTCATTGTAACAAAACAAAACAAAAAACTGTAGCAGATATGCAAATGATAAAGAGAAAGGAATTTAAGCATAGGACTACAGAATATTATAAAATTATAAAGGTAGACAACAAGAGAGGAAAAAAGGGAAAAAGGAGATACAAAACAACAAGGAAAAATTAACAGAATGGCAGTAGTAAGTGCTAACCTACCAATAATAACCTTGAATGTAAATGGATTAAATTTTCCAATCAAAGGACATAGAGTGGCTGAATGCATAGGAAAACAAGAACTAACTATATGCTGCATACAGGAGACTCATGTAAACTTTAAGAATACACATAGGCTAAAAGTGAGAGGATGAAAGAAGATATTCCATGTAAATGGCAACTACAAGAGAGCAGAAGTGGCTATACTTATATCTGATTAAATAGGTTTCAAGTCAAAATCTATCACAAGAGACAAAGAAGGTCTCTATTTAATGATAAAAAGGTAAATTAATTGTGAGGACATAACCACTGTAAATATACATGCACCCAACATTGGAGCACCTAGATACATAAAGCAAATATTAATAAATGTGAAGGAAAAGAGAGATAGCAATACAATAAAGTAGGGGCCTTCAATAAGCCTCCTTGAACAATGAATAAATCAACCAGTTAGAAAATTAATAAGGTAATACTAAATTGAATTGTATTTTTGAACAAATGGACCTAAAACACACTTACAAAACTTTACCTCCAACAACAGCAGAACACACATTTTTCTTCAGTGCACATGAAACACTCTCCAGTATAGAACATATGTTAGGCTACAAAATGAGTCTTAACAAATTTTAAAAGTTTGAAATTATATCTAGTACCATTTCATATCACAAAGATACAAAACTAAACATAAATAACATGGTGAATTGTGGAAAATTCACAAATATGTGGAAATTAAACAACACACTTCTGAACAACCAATGAGTAAAGAAAGAAATCAAAAGAAATATTTAAAAATATATGGAGTCCAACAACAATGGAAACACAACGTACCAAAACCCATGAAATGTAGCAAAAGCAATTCTAAGAGTGATGTTTATATCAATCAATGCCTACATTAAAAAAAGAAGAAACATTCTAAATAAATAGCATAACATTATGCCTAAAGAATCAAAAGAACAAACTAAACCCAAAATTATCAGAAAGAAATCAAATAGAGAACAGAAAAAATACAGAGAGAATCAATCAAACCAGCACTTGATTTTTTTAAATAAAAACAAAATTGACAACCCCCTAGTTAGACTAAGAAAAGAATAGAGAAGGGTCAAATACAAAATTAAAAATGAAAGTGTAAATTTCATAATACATATCTCAGAAATAAAAAAATCATAAGGGACTATTAGGAACAATTATATGCTGGCAAATTGGATAATCTAGGGAATTAATAAATTAATAGAAAAATACAACCTACCAAGATTGAACCAGAAAGAAATAAAAAGTGTGAACATATAAAAACAAATAGGAGATAATGAAGTTGTAAAAATCTTTCCAACAAAGAAAAGCCTAAGACCAGACCGCTTTACAGCAGAATTCCACGAAACATTCAAAGAAAACTTTAATAATTTCCAACAATTCTAAAAACTGCTGAAAAATAGAGCTAGAGGGAATGCTTTCAAACTCATTTTATAAATCCAGCATCACCTTGATTCCTAAGTTAAAAAAACACGTCACAAGAAAAGAAAACTACAGGTCAATTTATCTGATGTACATTGATGCAAAAATTATCTACAAAATATTAGCAGATGAAATCCAACAATGTATTTAAAATATTATATGACAAAGTAATATTTATCTCTGACATGCAAGGCTAATTTAACATAGGCAAATTAATCAATGTGATATATCACATTAACATAATGAAAACTTGAAACTACATGATTATTTCAATTGATGCAAAAAAAAGCATTCAACAAAATCCAACCTTCTTTCTTAATTAAAACCTTCAACAGTTTAGGTATAGAAGGAAAGTTTTTCAACATGATAAATGTCATTTATGAAAACCTGTTGTTATGATTTGGAACTGTGTTCCCACCCATATCTCATGTTGAAGTGTAATTCCCAGTGTTAGAGATGGAGCCTGATAGGAGGTGATTGAATCATGTGGGTGGCATTCTCATGAATGGTTTAGCACCAGTCCCCCCTTGGTACTGCATAATGAGAGAGTTCTCATGAGATCTGATTGTTTAAAAGTGTGCAGCATCTCCCCCGTCTCTCTGTTGGTCCTGCTCCTGCCATGTAGGATGCCTTTTCCAACTTTGCCTTTCAGCATGAGTGAAAGATCCTTGAGGCTTCCCCGAAGCAGAAGCTGCTGTACTTTCTACACAGCTTAGGAAATCATGAGCCAATTAAACCTCTTTGCATTATAAATTACCCAGTCTCAGATATTTCTTTATAGCAATGCTAGAACAACCTAACACAGATAATTGAGGAATTAGGCATTGCTATAAAGAAACCTGAAAATGTGGAAGCAATGTTGGAACTGGGTAATGGGCAAAGGTTGGAAGAGTGTGGAGAGCTTAGAAGAAAACAATAAGATGACAGAAAGCTTGAAACTTCCTAGAGACTTGTTGAATGGTTGTGACCAAAATGCTGATAGTGATGTGGACAGTGAAAACTAGGCTAATAAGATATCAGATAGAAATAAGAAACTTATTGGGAAGTGGAGCAGTCATTTTTGTTATGCTTTAGCAAGGAGCTTGGGTGCATTATGCCCACGCCCTAGAGATCTGTGGAACTTTGAACTTGAGAGTGATGATTTAAGGTATCTGGTAGAAGAAATTGCTCAGCAGCAAGGCATTCAAAATGTGGCCTAGCTGCTTCTAACAACCTATGTTTATATGTGTGAGCAAAGAAATGACCAAAAACTGGAACTTACATTAAAAAGGGAAGCAGAACATAAAAATTTGGAAAATTTGCAGCTTGGCCATGTAGTAGAAAAGAAAAGCCCATTTTCAGAGGAGGAATTCAAGCAGGCTGTATAAATTTGCACAAGAAAAAAGGAGCCAAGTGCTAACATTCAAGACAATGGGGAAAAGGCCTCAAAAGCATTTCATAGATCTTTGTGGCAGCCCCTCCTATCACAGACCCAGAGGCCTAGGAGGGAATAATGCTTTTGAGGGCCAGGCCCAGGGCCCTGCCTTCCTGTACATCCTCGAGACACTGCTCCCTGCGTCCCAGCTGCTCCAGATCCAGCCTTGGCTCAAAGAGGCCCAAGTACAGTTCAAGATACTGCTTTAGAGAGTTCAAACTGTAAGCCTCTGTGGCTTCCATGTGGTGTTAAACCTGTGGGTAAGCAGAGTGCAAGAGGTGAAGCTTGGAGCCTCTCTCTAGATTTCAGAGAATGTATGGAAAACCTGCATGTCCAAGCAGAAGTCTGCTGCTGGGATGCAGCTCTCATGGGAAGCTCTACTAGGGCAGTGTAAAGGGCAAATATGGGTTGGAGCCCCTACACAATGTCCCCACTGGGGCACTACCTAGTGGAGCTATGAGAAGAGGGCCATCATCCTCCAGACCCCAGAATGGTAGAATCACTGGCAGCTTGCATCATGCATCTGGAGATGCTGCAGATGCTCAATGCTAGCCCATGAGAACAGCTGGAGGCAGGCGACAAACACTGCAAAGCCACAGGGCCAGAACTACACAAGGGCCCAAAGCTTTGGGAGCCCACACCTTGTACCAGTGTGGCCTTGATATGAGACATGAAGTCAAAGGAAATTATTTTGGAACTTTATGATTTAATGACTGACCTGCTGGGTTTTTGACTTGAGTGGGGAGTGTAGCCCCTTTGTTTTGGCCAATTCTCCCTTTTGGAATGGAAGTATTTATCCAATCTCTATATCCTCATTTTATCTTGGAAGTAACTACCTTGTTTTGTTTTTTATTTATTTTACAGGGTCATAGGCAGGAGGGACCAGCCCTTTCTCAGATAACACTTTGGACTATAGACTTTTGAGTTAATGCTGGAATGAGTTAAGACTTCAGGGGACTTTGAGAAAACATGATTGTATTTTGAAATGTAAGAAGGACATGATATTTGAGAGGGTCCAGGAGTGGAATTATATGGTTTGGATCTGTGTCCTCACCCAAATCTCATGTTGAAATGTCCCATTGCTGGAGGTGGGGCCTGGTGGGAGGTGATTAGATATGGGAGTGAAATTCTCATGAATGGTTTATTACCATTCCCCCTTATTACTATATAGTGATAGCATTCTCATGAGATCTGGTTGTTTAAAAGTGTGTAGCTCCTCTGTCTTCTCTCTTTTGCTCCTGCTCTGGCCATATAAGATGCACCTGCTTTCCCTTTGCCTTCTGCCATGAGTGTAAGTTTTCTGAGGCCTCTCCAGAAGCAGAAGCCGCTACACTTCATGTACAGCCTGCAAAACCACGAGCCAACTAAATCTCTTTTTTTTTAATAAATTACCCAGTGTCAGGTATTTCTTGATAGCAGTGCAAGAATGGGCAAATAGAACCATAGTTAAAATTTTACTCAATGTGGAAAAATTGAAAGCTTCCTACTAAGACCCAGTAAGAAGCAAGGATGTCCACTCTCATGACTTCTATTCAATAGTGTGCTGGAAATACTAGCAAGAGTACTAAAGAGAGAAAAAATGTAATTTGTCACATGAATTTTTTGGTTTCCCAGTGCATGTAGTACTTATGCTTATACTGTAGTCAATTAAATGTGCAATAATATTATGTCTGAATCAATGTACATACTTTACTTTAAAATACTTCATTATTTAAAAATGCTGAAAGTTATCTAAACTTTCAGCCAATTGTAATCTTTTTGCTGGTGGAGGGTCTTGCCTCAATGTTGGTGTCTGCTGACTGATTAGGGTGATAGTTCCTGAAGGTTGGTTGGGGTGGCTACGAAAATTTCTTAAAATAAGACTGGAATGAAATTTGCCATATATATTAGCTTTTTCTCTCATGAAAAAGTTTTCTGTAACAAGTGATGCTGTTTCACAGCATTTTATCCACAGTAGAACTTTTCTCAAAATTGGGGTTAATCCTCTCAAACCCTGCTGCTACTTTATCAGCTAAGTTTATGTAATATTCTAAATTTTTGGTTGTCATTTCAACAACATTTGCATCACCTTCCCCAAGAGTAGATTTTACGTCAATAAACCAGTTTCTTTTCTTATTCATAAGAAGCAACTTCTCATTTGTTTGATTTTGAACGTTAGATTATAGCAATTCAGTCCCATCTTCAGGCTCCACTTCTAATTTATCTTGTTATTTCCACCACATCTGTAACTTCTTCCTCCATGGATGTCTTGAATCCCTCAAAATCATCCATGGGGGTTGGAATCAACTTTTTCCAAACTCCTGTTAATTTTGATATTTTTTATCCCCTTTCATGAATCACAAATATTCTTTTTTTTTTTTTTTGAGACAGAGTCTAACTCTGTCGCCCAGGCTGGAGTGCAGTGGCACAATCTCAGGTCACTGCAACCTCTGCCTCCTGAGTTCAAGCAATTCTCCTGCCTCAGCCTCCTGAGTAGCTGAGATTGCAGGCATGCACCACCGCACTCAGCTAATTTTTGTATTTTTAATAGATACAGGATTTCGCCACATTGGTCAGGCTAGTCTTGAACTCCTGACCTTGTGATTCACCCGCCTCAGCCTCCCAAAGTGCTAGGATTACAGGCATGAGCCACCACGCCCAGCCCTCAAATATTCTTAATGCATTCAGAATGGTGAATCTTTCCAAGAACGTTTTCAATTGACTTTTCTCAGATCTACCAGAGAAATAGCTATTCATGGCAGCTACAGCCTTATCGATAATAAAGCCTTAAATAATAAGACTTGAGAGTCCAAATTACTCCTTGTTTAATGAGCTACACAATGGCTGTTGTGGTAGCAGGCATAAAAGCAACATGAATCTCTGTGTAAATTTCTATCAGAGCTGTTGGTTGACAAGGTACATTGTCAATGACCAGTAATATTTTGAAAGGAATGCTTTTCTTCCTGAATAGTAGCTCTCAATAGTAGGTCTCAGATATTTAATAAGCCATGCTGTAAACAGATGTGCTGTCATCCAGGCTTTGTTGTTCCATTCATAGAGCACAGACAGAGTAGATTTAGCATAATTTTTAAAGGCCGTAAGATTTTCAGAATGGTAAATGAGAATTGGCTTCCACTTAGGGTCACCGGCTGCATTAGCTCATAACAGGAGGGTCAGCCTGTCTTTTGATACTTTGACACCAGTCATTTAGTACCCATCTCTAGTTATGAAAGTCCTAGATGGCATCTTTTATCAACAGAATGCTGTTTTGCCTACATTAAAAATCTGTTATACAGTGTAGCCACCTTCTTTGATTATCTTATCTAGATCTTTTGGTTAACTTGATGCAGGTTCTACATTAGCACTTGCTGCTTTGTCTTGCAATGTTATGTTATGAAGATGCCTTCTTTCCTTAAACCTCATGAACCTCTGCTAGATTCAGCATTTTCTTCTCAAGTTTCCTCACCTCTCTTAACTTGCATAGAATTGGCAAGAGTTAGGACCTTGTTCTGGATTAGGCTTTGACTTAAAGGAATGGGGTGACTGCTTTGATCTTCAATCCAGACCAATAACCTTCTCTAGATCAGGAAGAAGGCTGTTGTGCCTTCTTAGCATGTGTTCACTGGCATAGCACTTTAATTTCCTCATTAAACTTTTTCTTTCTTTTTTTTTTTTTTGCATTCACAGCTTGGCTAATGATTTAGCACAAGAAGCCTAGCTTTCAGCCTATCTCAAATTTTGGCATGCCTTCCTCAATAAGCGTAATCATTTCTAGTATTTGATTTAAAGTGAGAATGTACAACTCTTCCTTTATCTTGACCACTTAGAGACCACTGTGTGGTTATTCATAGGCCTAATTTCAATATTACTGTGTTTCAGGGAATAAGGAGGCCTGAGGAACAGAGAGAGAAGAGGAAACAGCTAGTCAGTACAGCAGTCAGAACACATGTTGAACACAGGTAACATTTATCAAAGACGTTTCCTGTCTTATACTGGCACAGTTTGTGATCCCTCAAACAATTACAATGGAAACATCAAATATCAGTGATCATACATCACCATAACAAACGTGAGAAAGAAGTGTGAAATATTGCAAGAATTATCAAAACATGACACAACAACATGAAGTGAGCACATGCAGTACAAAAAAAACCATGCCAATGGACTTGCTCAATGAAGGGTTGCTACATCCTTCAATTTGTAAGGATTTTGTCAAAATACTCTCTGTGAAGCACAATAAAGAGAAGTTCATTAATACAAGGTATGATTATATCTGATAAAGGGATGAGTGTCCAAAATTTATAAAGAATTCATACAACTCAATAGTGTAAAAACATTCAATATAAAATGATCAAAATACCTGAAAAACCTTCTTATAAGAAGATATAAAAATGGCCAATAGGTATATGAAAATGTACCCAGTATCATTAAATCAAAAAATGCAAATAGATGACTATTATTAATACCCAAAAGTCAATAAGATAACAAATGTTGGTGAGATTGTGGAGAAAGGGAATTCTTGTACACTGTTGGTGAGAATGTAGATTGGTATAGCCATTTTGGAAAACAGTATGGAAGTTTCTAAAGAAATTAAAAATAGAACCACCATATAATCCAACAACACTTTTTCTGGGCATATAATGAATAAAATTGAAATCAACACCTTGTAAATATATCTATCTTCCCATGTTTATTGTGGTATTATTCACAATAGCCAAGATATAAAAGCAGTATAAGTGTTCATAGATAGGCAAATTTTCAGGAAAATTTGTTTTTATATCTTGGTGAAAAACAATCTAAGTGTTCATAGATAGACAAATGGAAAAATAAATTTTGATACATATATACAATGGAATATTATTCAGCCTTAAAAAAGAGTGAGATCTTGCCATTTGCTGCAACATGGATGAGCCTAGATGGATATTATTCTAATGAAATAAAGCAGACATAGAAAGAAAAATATTGCTTCATTTCACTTATATGTGGAATCTTAAAAAAATAATTAAAATCTACAGAGGTGAAGAATAAAACAGTGGTTACCAAGGGTAGAAGGTGGGGGGAGGATATAAGAGATGTAGGTCAGAGAATACAAGGCAGCATATTTGCAGGATAAATAAGTTCAGAGACCTAATGTACAACCTACGGTTTGTAGGTAATAACATTGTACTGTATATTGAATTCATGCTACATAAGTACATTTTAACTATTCTTGCCACAAAAACAAACAAAAAAAATGGGTAACCACGTGAGATAATGGATATGTTAATTGGCTTCACCATAGTAACCTTTTCACTATTTATATGTATTCCATAACATCATGTTATATAACATAAATATACACAATAAAGTTTATTTTAAATAAATAAAGAACAGGTAAAGCTAAATATTCTATTGGCTATTAAAGAAATTAAACTCATAATTTTAAAACTTTGTATAAGAAAAACCTCTAGGTCCATATGGCAAGCTCTACCAAAGAATTAGAAAGGTAATACCAGCCTTATACAAACTTTCTGTAGAAAGTAATAGTATATTTCTAAGCTCCATGTGGCTAATATCACTTTGATACCAAAATTTGACAAGGACAATACAAGAAAGAAAACCTATAAGCTCAGCTGATTAATGACAATACATGTAAGGATCCTACACAAAATAATAGAAAACAAAATCTAGCCTAGCAAAACAAATTTAATACCCCAGACTAAGATGAATTTATTCCATACAAGAATAGGATAAAATTAGAATATCAATTCTTTTAGTTTGCTACATAATCAGAAGAAAGAAGACAAATCATATTATCAATATGCTGATGAGAAATAGCGTTTGATAATAGCAATCTATGAAAATATAAAAACTATATTGCAAATATACCTAATAGTAAAACATTGAAACTGTTCTCTTTGCGATTGGGCACAAGACAATGGTAATTTTTGCTTCCACTTCTATTTAACAATTTACTGATTTTCTAGTCAGTACACTAAGTGGAGAGAAAAATAATATGTTTGAGGACTGAAAAAAAGAAACAAAACTTAACTTTCTATAGATTATATGTAAGGAGAAAATGCAAATAAATCTACCCATAAAAATTAGGGTGAATGAGTTAGCAAGTTTGCATGATACAATGATAATATATATTAATATTATCAATTGTTTCACTGTATAATAGCAATCAAAAGAAAATTTCTTTTAAATGATACCATCTATAATAGTGTAAGATATTAAATATCCTGGAATGAACCCTACAAAAGGTATACAGGGCTTCTCAACAGAAAATCAGAAACTTATATGAAGAGAAAATAAGGAATACCTAAATATAGCATGTTTACGATTAGGAAGAAACAATATTGTAAGGGTATCAATATTTTCTAAATTGATTTACAGGGTATGTGCAATCTCAATTTTAAAACCTTAAGAGTCTATATTTGTGGGTGTGTGCAAGTATATATGGCTTATCAAACTTAGTCTGATATTACTATGGCTATGCACACGATCAAGAACAGATGAGACACCCTGAGAAAAGAACGAAATTGGACTATATGTTCTACCAAATATCAAGATCACAGTAAAGCTACAGTAATTAACATTGTATCATATTGGTGCAAAACATAGAACTATTTCAATCAAAGTTTTCAGGAACTGACTCATGGATACTTGAATCATGATAGAGATCTTTGTAGAGTTGTGCTCTCTGAAGCAATAAAGTAATAATATTATTAATAATCAAAGTTTTAAATAATACTAGTAATATACATGCATTATCTCCAATTTATTATTAAAATTGTCCTCATTTTATAGTGGGGAAACTGAATAGGTTAATCGATTTGCTCACAGTCAAACAGAACGGAACAGTGGAGCCAAAATGTGCACTGGGCTATTCTGAGTCTAAAACATATGTATATTTTGTGCTTCCTATGCCAGACACTGTACTAGAAAATTTTGTGTATGTTACGGCACTACTAATAAAGAATTATTCTTAGAAATGTTTCATGTATGAAACATTTGGCTTATTGTGATGAAGCAGAAGTTTTTCTTGTCTATGTTTATGAACTTTAAAAAATGACAATTATAGTATTGATGACTTTTTATTGAGAAACAATTTTCCAGAGCAAACATCAATACACTAATCATTTAACTAGATTCTATACAGAAAACATAAATCCTAATTTTTTGTTCTTATTACTTTATGAGAAATTTTACAATAATTTGGTATGTGTTAATTTTACCCATCACAACTTCTGTTGTGAGTTTATTCATGACTACTATTTCTCTCATGTCTATTTTTTTCTCAGGTCAGATTTTTCTGATCTAATTTTATAAAGAAAATTAAAATTTTCAATAAATTTTCATTGCCTTCTGCATTTTAAGCTCCTGTTTTGTTTTGAGCTTATTTGTTCTATGAAATCTAATTTTACCCAGATCAATTTTGTTAGGTTTCTGTCATGCCAATAAGACATATTTTCTTCATTTTGTTTTGCATTCATAATAAATTATACTCAGATTCATTCACATTGTCATCAGAGTTAAAGTGGTTGGATCCAAATTTCCTGCTGTATAGCTATTTGTATTCTAGTTTTTGTTCAGATAGTGCAGTTGAGGCTCACACAGTAACTGCCATGACATACATTTGAAAACAGGTCTGTCTGACAACCAGGTTTCCAGTTTTTCTTCTGTATGCTAATGTCTCTGACATCAATTATCTCAAATTTAATTCTGACTTTGGGGATAATTTCGCCTTGCCTTCCTTACAGCTTGTTGTCTGGATAAAATGTGGAAATTTTGTAATCTGTATATAATATGCAAGTTTAGACATAATTTATCTATGTAAGTATCCTTTATTATTATTACTATGATCCAAATGTTTGTGTGCCTTCGCCAGATTCAGAATCATTCAGGGCCTTCATCCTGGAATTCCCAGATCCCAGAACTGTGAGAAATAAATTCTTGTTGTTTATAAGCCACCCAGTTTATAGTAAAGCCACCTGAATGAACTGAGACAATTATTAACATTTATTCTATTTGAATGTATTAGATAAACCTGTCTTTTTGCAGCTCAATAAATTTCCTTGGCCTGCTTCTAAGTTGGATAACCATTAAAGATATATCTGATTCTGGCCGGGTGCGGTGGCTCACGCCTGTAATCCAGCACTTTGGGAGGCTGAGGTGGGTGGATCACCTGAGGTCAGGAGTTCAGGACCAGCCTGACCAACATGGTGAAACCCCGTCTCTACTAAAAACACAAAAAAATTAGCCAGGCGAAGTGGCGGATGCCTGTAATCCCACCTACTTGGGAGACTGACGCAGGAGAATTGCTTGAACTGGGGATGTGGAGGCTTCAGTGAGCCAAGATCATACCATTGCACTCCAGCCTGAGCGACAAGAGTGAAACAAAACAAAACAAAAAAAGGCTCTGATTCTGAAAGGTGAAGCAGCCAGCTGGACTTCCTGGGTCGACTGAGGACTTGGAGAACTTTTCTGTCTTACAAGAGGATTGTAAAATGCACCAGTGCTCCATAAAAATGCACCAATCAGCGCTCTGTAGCAAGCTAGAGGTTTGTAAAATAGGCCAGTCAGCACTCCGTAAAATGGACCAATCAGCACACTGTAAAATGGGCCAATCAGCACTCTGTAAAATGGACCAATTAGCAGGACATAAACGGGGACAAATAAGGGAATAAAAGCTGGCCACCCCCAGCCAGCAGCGGCAACCCACTCAGGTCCCCTTCCACGTTGTGGAAGCTTTGTTCTTTCGCTCTTCACAATAAATCTTGCTGCTGCTCACTCTTTGGGTCCCTGCCATCTTTAAGAGCTATAACACTCACCGTGGAGGTTTGCAGCTCCATTCTTGAAGTCAGCGAGACCATGAACCCACCAGAAGGAACGAACTCCGGACACAATTCTATATATTAATCTTATTTATTTTTTAGTATTAATCCTTGATATGTATTAGGTAAGAGATCTTTTATGTTTATTATACTTGTTAACTCATGAGTCTTCCCATTCTTTTGAGCAATGAATATGAACATTTTCTCATCTGGTAATTTCTTACTCTAAGTTTGCATTTGGCCATGTTTGAGTTATGAATACACAGGGAAAGTACCATTGCTAAATAACTTTTACAATTACCCTTTTCCTTTTTTTCTTCTATAAAGTATTTGATGAGGTTTAGAAAAGAAAGCAAGAGTTTAATTAAAATCATGTAAACGAGCAGATTTTCACGTCTGAACATGTTAAACAGAAATTGGATACAGCCTCATGCTGTAAACATTTGAAAACTGAACAAAATGTATGAAGTCACTTTTCAGACATTATACAAAAGCCAGCACAGAACCATGACACCCAAGAGTAAAGTAAACATAATGGTGGAGCCTGGTTTCCCAGACTTTCATTCTAGCAAGGGTGGGAACAGAATGCCAAGAAAAATGAGGCTGCCTTACTGAAGTGAAGAGCCAGAGATCAGAGATCAGGAACATTGAGAGAGTTACAAGTAGTGGGACAGGGTTTCAGTGAGCCGGAGGTTATATAGCAAAAAACAAAAACAAACAAAGAAAAAAAAAAACAGCTCCAAACATCTTCATAAGGATTCTCTTGAGTCTTTGCTGAACATGAACTTTAAGTTATGCATAGATATGATAAAACTTCAATGACTTCTGAGCTGAATATTGAACAATTCCTAAAGTGTCAAACATTCCAGGAGGACATTTAAACTCTGACAAGCCAGAGCAAGACCTTGTTGATTACTCAAGCAATCTGTTGAGAACCAAAGATGGACCTGATAGTAATACATAGCACCTCACCTCTAGATTAAAGAATAATTAAGGACTGCTTTTTAAAATGTGTCTCAAAGATTCAAGCTAATCTGTTGCTTGACAGAAACAAGAGCCAACGAATTTAAAGGAATAAAATAATATTCAGCCACTCAATGGTAAAGCACTTGCAGTGTTCAGAATCTGGCCAAGTGCAGGAAATTGAAATGCATAATCAGGAAAAACTAGTCAATATAAATGAACCCAGAAATGAGAGAAATTTTGGAATTATCAGACAAGAACTTTAAAATAGCTAATGTAAATATGCCAAAATGCTCAAAGGAAAACAAAAACATAAAGAGAAGAGAAATTAAGATATGAAAATAGCAATGTAGAACTTATAGAACTGAAAAATATAATAGCTTAAGAAAAAAACTAGATATGATTAATCGCAGATGAGAAACTGCAGAAGAAAAGATCAGTGAATATGACTCTATTATTAATAGAAATGGTCAAAATTGAAGTAAATAAAAACAAAAGACCTAAGAAAATGAGCAGTATAAAATGGGACAGTATCAAATAATCGAACACATGGGTATTTGGATTTCCTTAAAATGGGGAGAAAAAAATTGGAAAAATGATGAATAAAAATTTTTCCAATGTTGATAAAAATCATGAACTAGTAAATTCAAGAAAAATATAAAACAACAAGTAGGCTAAAAAAACCAACAAACAAAACAAAAGCACATGGAGGCATATAATCCAACTACACAAAAACAGTTATGAAATTATAAAATCACCCAGACAAAAAGACACATTATGGATACAGGAACAAAGATATGAATGACTCCAGGCTTCTCAACAGGAACTTTACAGGCAATGGAACATTATTTTTAAAGTGCTAAAAGAGAAAAGAAAAAAAATCTATATCCAGCAAAAATACTTTCACAAATGAAAGTGAATGAAGATTTTTTTTTTTCAGACAGACAAAAGCTGAGAGGATGTGTTTTCAACAGACCCACAGTATAAAAAATATCTTCAGGCTGAAGGAAAACAATGCCAGATGAAAACTTGGATTTATAAAAAGAAATGAACAGCTCCAGAAATGGTCATTCTGTGAGCAAATATGCAATAGTTTTCTGTCCGTTTAAAAAATTTTTTTTGAAAGAAAAATACTTAAAATGAAAATAACAATGTACTGTAAAGTTTACAACATGTCTAGAAGGGAGAATGCCTGACATCAATAGCACAAAATATAAGGAGCACACTATTGTAATTATACTGTGTGATGTTCAGTTATACATAAAGAAGCAAAATATTATTTGAATATAGACTTTATTAATTTAAAGATTCATTTAAAAAACCATACACTAGCCTTTAAAAAGTAAAACAAAGAGGTATTGCAAATAAGCCAATAATGGAGATAAAATGTAATATTAGAGAGTAAAAATAATTCAAAAAAAGAAAGAATGGAAAAATATGTAAAAAAGCAAGATTGTAGTTAAACTCAACCATGAAAATAATTACAATAAATTTGAATTAATCTATACTTTATTTGAATTGAATTACTTTAAATATGTACTTTTTGATATGGTAGCCACTAGCTACATGTGGCTATTTAGCATTTGGAGTGTGGCTAACATACATCAAGAACTAAATTTTTAACTTTATTAAATGTTTAATTAAAGCTTAAATTGGAAAACAAACAGTTCAGTTATTCTGAGACTTTTCAGTATTTTTGGAACCCTGCATGTATGTGAATCAACATTTTTAACTGTAAATTTTAAGAAACCTAAAGATAAGATATTTGCAATGAAAATTTTATGTTAAACTTGAAATATATTTTAAGTGTAAAATATAAACTGGATTTCAAATATTTAGTATGAAAAACAATGTAAAAATCCCATGAATATATTTGTATTTATTTCTTACTGAAATGATAATATATTGGATATACTGAGTTAAATATATAACTGCTATCAATTGCCTGTTTCTTTTTATGCTTTTAAATGTGTCTACTGCTATCATTTCAACATTTTAAAAAATGTATCACTTGTCTAAAACACTTTGATAAAAGGCAGAGATTGTCAAGCTGTACAATAAAGCAATAATCAACTACAGCCTGTCTGTAAGAAACCAGTTTAAATATAAAGTTGTAAAGCATCCGGAATATCTCAAGTGATATTGAAAAAGAATAACAATTTTGGAGACTTAGAGTACCAGTATTCAACACAACTAAATTTTATATTAAGGACATTGTGATACTGCCAAAGGACAGCAAGATCAATGTAAGAGAATAGAGTGCCTATCCAGATACTGATCTATACATATGTATGGTTAGATTGTTGACAAAGATTCTAAAACAGGCCAAAGGAAAAAAGTCTTTTCAAAAAGAGGTGCTAGAACAGCTCAATATGTATATAGGAGAAAAAATTTGTACTTATGCATTATACCAAGAATTAATTTCACATGGATAATTAATCTAAACATAAAAACAGCCACCATAAAACTTTTTTAAAAACTCACCAGATAATATATTCATCAATTGGGTAAACAAACACTTCTTAGTCTGGACAAAAAGCAATAACCATAAAATTTTTTTAAAAAATTAGATTTCATTAAAATTAAAAATTTCTGTTCGTCAAAAGATATCATTAAAAATTCATATGAAAGACACAGAGTAGCAGAAAAAAATCACTGGAAAAAACTTTGTATGGTGATGAAAAGATTCCATAATGATATACATTTGTGAAAACTCATCGAACTTTATAGTAAATGTTCTCATGTTTGTGGACTATTAGGTCTCTCCTACATTATTGGTGAGGACCTAAGATAATACACCTAATTGGCAAATATCTGGTAGTTTCTTACAATTTTAAACATAATCTATTCACAAGTATTAGCCCAAATAAATTAAATCGTTAAAAAAAAGTACCCACATGTCCATAGTAGATTAATCTACAAGTAAATCTATTTATTTATCATAGTAGCCCAAATCTGGAAACTATCTGGTTGTCCAGGTATCCAATATTAAAAAATGACTAAAAAAACCCTAGCATATTCATACACATTCATTCATGGAGTACTATGTAGCAATAAGAGGGAAACTCGTGTATGGAATTACATGAACATATATCAGGACCATGATGCTGAGAAACAGAAACCAAATACCAAAAGAATACATATTGTATGATTTCATTTGTATGAAATTCCAAAAGAGGCAAAACTAACATATGCTGGGAAAAAAAAATCAGAACATTGGTTGCCTCTGCCACTTGAGAACTCACCATTAAGTTTTCTACTTAGGTGTTAAACAGGCACAAAAGTGGAATGCTTTGTCTCAATATCTGGGAAAAAAAGCAATATTATATAGTTGAGAAAGACATTATTTTCTAGTACTAAGATCTTAGGCGAACGAGTCTTCAAATGAAGGATATTGAAAAACAAATGTTTATTTTTCAAAATATATAGGTTAGATATCCCCAATCTGAAAATCTGAAATCTGGAAAGCTCCAAAATCAACTATTTTTTGAATACCAACACAATGCCGCAAGTGAAAAATTTCACAACTGATCACGTGAGACATCACAGTGAAAAGCTGTTTCATGTACAAAATCATTGCAAATATGTGTATATTTTACAGATAAAATATTTGTTTAAAAATTGTATAAAAGTACCTTCAGATTATTTGTATAAGGTGAATATGAAACAAATGAATTTTGTATATAGAATTGGGTTCCTTCCCTAAAATATCTCATTAGGTACATGCAAATTTCCAAAAATCTGAAAAAATTCAAGATCTGAAACATTTCTGATCTCAAGAATTTTGGATAAGGGATACTGCATATTTAAAGTGCAAAGTTAATCTTTATGTGGCCATTTTATCTTCTAGAAATGTCAAGTATATCATCTTAAGTTATAATTAACACTTATATCACCATGTAACCTTCTTTTAAAGAATTATCTCCTTTTATACAAACACCAAATGACCCTGCAAACTGAATTCTAATTCTCTAAACTTAACAGGCTTGTTTAAAACTGTTGAAATGTTCATTTTTTATACACATACTTACTTCCATGTGCAATGTCTGTTTTCCCCTTTTCTCCTAAAGAATTACTTCTCTTTTACCTTTTGTTACTCGCTACATCTACTCTAGTTCCAAATTATATTGTCGATATCTCTGTTGGAATATATATATATATATTATATAATCTTGCATTTTACCTAGAAAATCTTCCTTATTTCAAAGACTAACAATGGGAAGCACAGAAAAATCACAACTTAAATTTTGTGACTAAGAGAAGAGGCCATCCCTTAAACCAACCTCATCTGCATCTGAAGTAAATTCCATTTCTTTAGCATAGAAAAGCAGTATTTTCAAGATATTGATGAAGAAGTAGAATGCAGTAGGCTAAGGCTGTCAACCCTAGACATACATTAGTTATTTATGGGAGCTTAACAAAGTATCAATACTTGAGCCCTAGTTCCCAGAGATTATTTGTTAATTGGTCTCTGAAGGCATATGCCCATCTATTAGTATTCCAGTGTGCAATTCAGTTGAAATCTAAGACAATATCAGTTTTTTAAAGTCATAAATATTTCCTTAATCTGTTGTTAATTTATGCTTCTGAATATCCATTTTAGTTGACAATTAGACACTGTTATGAACTTCTGATAAAAAGCATGCAGATTTTAATATTTCAGGCTTCATGTATTAAAAAATTATCATAATGTTTCAGTTAATTTATTATGTTAGTCTGGAACTGAGCATATAACACCTCAAAAATTTACTGTGTATTATATCATCATTTTTCTGTGAATGCTTGTGTCCCTAGAAGAATGAAACAGCCCACAATAGAGCCTCATCCATATTATAGTACACATTGTTATAAAAGTCTTGTAGTGTAGTGAATTATGGCTAAAATCTATATTCATATATACTATATTTCAGTTAACTTGTCAGTCAATACCAACATATTTTCAAATATTAAGCTGAAATGCAGCTCAAGTTTTTAAAAAAATCACTATTTTAAACTAAATGCTCTATTTCCAAAACTCTATTAAATGCAACCAGAATTTTTATGTTTTCATGCAGTTTGATATGGTTTTTATTACTAAGTTTATGCCAAAATTAAATATGAATTTCTGTTTCCAACACTATTTGAAATATCATTCTATATTTAAAGTACAGCAATAAATTGTTTATATTTATTATTAACCTGTGTTGGTCTAAAACTATGAACTGTAATTAAATAGTCCAATAATAGCACAAAAGTAAGTTGATTCAATCTTGCAACTTGTATTTCTTGACACAGATATATTTTCTTAACAGAACATGTAATCAAATTGAGGCTATCAATAACAGACAGCTCCACCTCGCTCACAAATATGGAAGTATCAATATTGTAGTAGAGTTAATCTCTAAGAATAAACTCAGGGCTTCTTCCCTATTGCAACGTTAAAAAAAGAAATTCTCTCTATCAATGAAATGATGGGGGTTTTTAGGCTCCCCTTAAAGAAATTAGGTTTCATTGAAATGAGGAAAGGCAACACTCTGGCAAAGTGTTATCTTGGGCACAATATCATTATGATCAGTTCCTTCTGGGATGATGTTAAAGATTAGTTTATAAAAGTTCTTAAAGAGTTTAATATCTTTTCTTATTGGGCCTAGTTGTATTTATGGAAATTGTGGCAGTGTTTGTGATAGCAACCTCACAAAAACATGAGAAAGCTTTGAGAAAGAAAAAAAAAAATGCACCTGGCTGATCATTAGCTCAACGTCTAAATATCACTCTTTCCAAAATACTTTTCTGAGAAATGATCATGGGATTTTTCTCACTGTTTTCTGACAAAGGGAAATAGCAGCCTATAAAGACAAATTCTGAAAAGAAGCCAATCTTTTCTCATCAAAAGATACTTAACTTGGTGTAGGTGAGTCACTTGTAACAAGTGTTCCACACTGATGCAGGATGTTTATGGTGGGGGAGGTTGTGCATGAGTGGGGACAAGGGGTACACAGGAACTCTTTGTAATTTCCACTCAATTTTGCTGTAAACCTAGAACTCCTCTAAGAAATTCTAGGCGGGGCATGATGGCTCACGCCTGTAATCCCAGCATTTTGAGAGGCCGAGGGGGGCAAATCACTTGAGGTTAAGAGTTTGAGACAAGCCTGGCCAACATGGCAAAACCGCATCTCTACTAAAAATACAAAAATTAGCTGTATGTGGTGGTGCACACCTGTGATCCCCGCTACTGAGGAGGCTGAGGCAGGAGAATCGCTTCAACCCAGAAGGTGGAGACTGAAGTGAGCCGAGATCGTGCTGCTGCACTCTAACCTGGGTGACAGAGTGAGACTCCATCTCAAAAAAGAAAAAATAAAAATAAAAAAATTAAAGAAAGTCTATTAATATAAAAAAGAGATTTAATTTACTTATAAAATATTTATAAAGATTTCTGGATTTACCATAGTAGGAAAAAGTTTTTTTTATTTATTGTTTATTTTATCCTGTTAAAAACTATCCAAAGTCAATAAGCACAACAATTTTTTGAAATCCCATCTTTGGTGAAAGTACTATTTGTTTGAAACTCGAAACCACACAATACAAGAGGAGTATGGTTTGGCCCTAAGAGCTTCACTGTGCTCAATTTATTTCCAAACAGAAGTAGTGGGGCTGACCCATATTTATGGCCAGAATTCTGTCAGGAAAGCAATGAGAAGACTGTGGTTTGAACAGTTCTTTGTCTGACAAACTCAGGTAGTTGGTGAGAAACAAAAACTAAATAGTGATTCCTAGCTCTTACTCTACTTTTGGATCACTTGAGAAAGTTTTGAAAATACATATGCTAGGGTCTCAAACCAGTGATCCAGGTGCAATTCTCTTGGGACATTGTGTAGATTGTCATTTATTTTTTAGTTCTCCAGTTTACACTACACAAAGCTATTGTGTAATACTTTCTCAATGAGGGCTAAGAGAGCTCACTCACATACAGTTCTCTATCGTAAGGAATATTCCTTTTTTTAATGATTATACTTTAAGTTTTAGGGTACATGTGCATAACGTGCAGGTTTGTTACATATGTATACATGCGCCATGTTGGTGTGCTGCACCCATTAACTCATCATTTAGCATTAGGTATATCTCCTAATGCTATCCCTCCCCCCTCCCCCCACCCTGATGGCCTGTCAATTATCCCAGTCTTTTCTCCACACCAAAGTCCAAAAAATCAGCTTATCAATGAAGAACTCACCTAACTGAAAGACAAATGATTCATTCTTGTTGAATCAGTCTCCGTGCTAGAGAGGAAAAGAAAAACAAATTTTAAAAGGTGAACATTCAAAGTAAATTTCTGCCAAAAAGGATGAAATTTCTAAACTTCTAAAATACGATGCAGTTTTTTAAAAACTTAATGAAGACATTGTACAGGAGCTTAGGGAAAGACATGACAAGATCATAGAAACAAAAAAGTCATAACCACCAACCTTACCTTCACAGTTAAACGCCACTCATATCCTTTTCCCTGATCCCAGACTTCCTTTATATCTAATTCCTTCTCAATTTCAAGAAGATTTCTATTTGGCTTTAGTGTCCTACTGACCTTTTTACTACATTTCTAATAAGCTGATGGTGAATGTTGTGATTTAGGTTTGGGAGAGTCATTTTCAGATTTGCTATTCAACACTAATGTTTCGAACATTTTGAGTTTTCTGAAGTGAGAACAATTACAAATTAATGATCCTTTCTTTCTCAAATTGAAAACAACTTTAGATGATATGAAACTGCTCAGACAACACCGTAACTGCAAAAACACTCACCAGCTCAATTCAAATCACATGCAAAATTTTATTTTTTACTGAAATCAATTTGAATATCCTAAAGATATTCTATATGTAATCCACCTAATTATAAATAGTATATTTGAAGAAGTGTCCAATTTCCTATTTTTATAGAGTGTTGTGTTTACATTTCTGAGGAAAATTGAATATATGAAAGAATGATATTATCTATTAATCAAAAAAATAGACAAATCCAGGCAGGAGAGGGAGAGATGATTAAACATTGACCTATTAACACTCTACAAACTTATACTAGATTGATTCTTGCTAGAAGCATTGAAGAATGCATTCCATTTCCTATGGCTGTTTCAGATCCCATAGGGTAAAGTCCTCTGGTCACAGCTATTGCTTGGACTCTGTTCTTTCTCAGTTCTTCTATTCTTACATGTGCAGGCTACTCCTTTTTTTAATCCAATTTTTCTTAGCTAAAATATAATCATAAATGAATTCCAATCTGATATATAAATATGATAATTGTGAACATAAAGTAAATGTTCATATTCATAATATAAGACACTAATAAACTTCCAAATCTGGATTCAATCTTAATTCTAATAGTTATTTTCATAGTTATTTGAATGTGCTTAATGCTCCCATGAAGACATTTCATTTTTATTGAAGGAATTCTTTTCCTTTGTGTTCAACATAAAATAAGTGGTTTGATTTTGCTCAAAATTATGGATAGTCTTTTCAGTAAAGCTTGAAAATGGCAGACAGATTTCTTCTTTGTAAGGAGGTGATATAAAGAACTGACATTTTGATAGACGTCATGATACATAAGCTTTCAAGTTGATGGCATGGTAGCAAGAAACACTAAGGTAATCTTTCCCTCATTGTTTTTCTCTTTTTAAAGATTTTATGAACTTAAACTGTTGGACAAAATTTGGTTTTATTTAAAATAACCTCTTACACATATGGATGATTCGACCAACTACTATAAAATGTTAATAATGTAATTACTTGATGGTAGAAAGTCCTATTAATATTCAGTTGTAATGATGGCCATATATTTTGATGGTATCTCAAGATTAATAGCACCTGACATTTTTATCACACCTAACAGTATTTAGATGCGTCTATGTATGGAATTTCAATTTCTCTTAAGATGCCTCTTCCTTTTTTCCTGAAGTTCTTTCCTTTCTGTCTCCACTGCTACCACTGGGGTTGAGTTACACAGATTCATTACTATACCCTCACTTATCAAGGTAGTCACAGGTGGGAAAATGCAGAAATAAAAATCCTTTCCCTATATATTAGTTGAACTGTGACAGCCTGATAATTTGCAAAGAATAATACTTAAATAAGTGGGGAGAAAGTGTTTCAGGAAATTGTGATCCCCATCAAAGCACATGAAATTCATTCCCAGGTGCTTAGTGCCACAACTTTTTTCCCAAAGACTTTATTAATAGAGACAGTGGAAGGAAAACTCATTAATTTTATTACATGGGACAGATGGTGGCTATTTAATGTTCTTGTTAGGCTTAACAAATACTTCTCCTGTCTTGAGGTTTAGATTTTCTCAGCAAGTTCAATGCCCCAATCCTAAATTTAAAACAAAATAATAGTAATTACTGAAAGCAGAAAATTAAAATTCCACATTAAATTTTCAAAATTAACATTGAGCAGTTAATTCTTATTCATGGAAGTGAATTAAATTCATCTTTGAAGAAGACAACTTCTTTTCATGAAAAACCATCATAATGGCCTTTTGGTTTTGCATTTGTTATTCCAGAGGTAAGAATAAGAAGCAACCCGAAAGACAAAGTCTAAGACTGTGAAAAAGTCTTTTTGTATTGTAATTTAGTATATATTTTAAAAGAGTCAAGTACAAATAGCCCTTGTTGCTTCCTTTGGTAAGATGTTTCTTGACTCCATATAAACCTAGAGACTGTAGTGTCATGAATTGCTGGAAAATGTTATTACAGAGTTTTTTGTTTTGTTTTGTTTTGCTTGCATTTGTTGCAGATTGGATTCCCAGCAAATAGTCTCTGAGATGGAGTTTAGTGTTTAGGATATTAACTATGGAGTGCCTTTGGAGTCAATACAAGAGGGAGAGAAGGAAAGAAAACTGTGAAGAACAAGAAGTCAATTTGCGGCAGCCACCACAGCTTAACTTATGGTGAGGTGTGGATCCTTTAGAATTGTCTCATGTTGGGCTAAGATGGCCAAACCTTAGACTTCTAGTTCAATCAATCACGGGAAGTGGGCTGACCTGGGAAGGGAAATGACTTTAAGCAAAGTGGCTGTCTTAAGCAGAGTCTAATCCTCGCAGGAGCTAACAGCTGAAGGCTATATGCCGATAGTAATTCCAGAAGAAGGGGCAACAAGTCCAACGTGGAAGGGTACATCAGAGTTTTCACCACAGTTCATCTCTTACATAACTCAAATTCACCTCTGCATATACATCCTGGCAGACCTATCATCTGGAGGAAAATTTAGCAAAGCAGGTCAATGGGACAAAAACACCCTTTGCCCCTGCCAACGGATGTGCAATGTCTCTCCTCTCCACTACCCATTTTAGATTCCCCATAATATCATCTAGTACCTCTGCTAGTACCTAGTGACATGACCTGTGGCTCTAAGCCCCTGGTCACCATGGCCTTCTCAGGTTAGTGTGCTGTGAGAAGTTGCCCATTTATCATCAAAACTGGGCAAGGGATTTCCAAAAACACCTAAATAGATTACCCTGATAACATTTTTTCTTTCCCTCTTTATGCAGCAGCAGCAGCCCTGGACCTCATTTTATTTCCAGGAATTGGGTCAGTACGGTGAGAAATAGAAATGAAATTCGAAGCTCCTCAGCTAACTGAATGGACCCATCTTGGCCAATGGGACTCCAGAGCAACCTTGAAAACTGAGATTTTGGCCCTGATGAGTAGGAGGTCAGACATGTTGTTATATCCCCTCCCTCCCTAACTGTCATTAGGCTTTCATTCCTAAGGGCTAAACAGAAAGCAGCTCTTTTTTTTTTTAAATGAAGAAGTTTATTTGACTCACAGTTCTGGCAGAAAGCATGGCTGGGAGGCCTCAGGAAACTTGCAATTATGGTGGAAGGTGAAGGGGAAGCAAGCATGTCTCACCATGGTGGAGCAGGAGAGACAGAGCAAAGGGGAAAGTGCTACACACTTTTTTTTGAGACAGGGTCTTGCTCTGTTGCTCAGGTTGAAGTGTAGGGGCGCAATTTCAGCTCACCGCAACCCCCACCTCCTGGGCTCAAGCAGTGCTCCCACCTCAGCCTCCCCAGTAGCTGGGACTACAGGCAGGTGCCACTACACCTGGGTAATTTTTGTAGAGATGGAGTTTCGCCATGTTGCCCAGGCTGGTTTCAAACTCCTGAGCTCAAGCCATCTGCCCACCTTGGCCTCCCAAAGTGCTGGGATTATAGGCATGAGCCACTGCACCCACCCATGCTAGACACTTTTAAACAAGATCTTATGAGAACTCACTATCATGAGAACAGGAAGGGAGAAACCTGCCCCCACGATCTAATCACCTCCCACTAGGTCACTCCCTCAACATCGGGAATTATAACATGAGACTTGGGTGGGGACACAGAATCAAACCATATCACTGTCATAGGATCCTAAATATTGTTTCTGACCAAGGAACTCATTTGCTGTGAGATTAATGAGAGGATAAACAGAAAGCAGGTCTTTCAAAAGACTCCTTGGCTGCTATCAGGCCTACATCAACCAACTGCCTGATGCTGCTCCTCCCTTCTGCAGTTTCCATGCAACAATTGATCAGCATTTCTTCCTGATAAGAGACCACCCATGGAGTGGTTCTGGCCAAGCCAATCTATATGCAACTCATGAAGGGGCATGAAGTTCCATTGCGCATGTGCATGTTTCTCCTTTCAAAGATATTCATGACTCCTTCTACTTTATTAAATATGTATATTCTACCACCCTGCTCAGCATCAATTCCTGTTCCCTTTGTCCTTCCCTTTAAGTGTCTGTTTCTGGCTTCTGGCCAGAGGCTATGCTTTCCAGTCTGTCAGAATGGCCACCCTGCAGGCTGCAATGCTTTATGAAAAATAAAGCTTTCCTTTCCAAATGTATGAGCCTCATTATTCTTGGGTTGACAATGGATACATTCTTTATATTAAAAATAAAACCCACAGTACCTAAACATTTGAATTAGACCATCTTAAATTTGAATTCTCATTATTTGCTAGCTAGGATTGTGGGCAGGTTACCTAAATGATCATACCTTAGTATCATTCCTGTAAAATACCAATGGTAATACCTACACTGAAGTTTTGTGAAAGGATTGAAGACAATGTAAAATGACTTGCAAAATACCCTGACACATAGCAGTGCACAAGAAATGTCAATGATTCTCACAAAAGTTAATTTTCTACATGGTTTACCTTTGCACGCCTATCTGATAGATAAGAAAAATGGGAACAGAGAGAGTTAGAAATGTTTAAACTGCAATCACATTAGCAGTTTGTCTAAATAAATACGTTTGCTATGTATCATTTGAACACCATTGAAAGGTCCCTTTGATTATTGCTGTTTACCTATTTGTTCTGCTTGGCAATTCTTGTTTGTCCCAGGGCAGCTCTCTAAAGACTTGCATTTAGTTATATTGCAAACAGACTGGTATGTGGAATCATTTGGTGAGAAGTTTAGAAGGTGCATTTCACCTTTAGATTTCCCTTAATTATTAAGTGGAAATAATTTCTATGATCCATGGTTCATCTCACTTTCATAAAAACCAATACAGATAATTTTTCAATATATTAAAGACATTTAAATAGCTAACAGTTGATATACTAATGAGTAGATTGATATACTTAGTTGATGTATTAGGTTGGTGCAAAAGTAATTGTGGTTTTTGCCATTAAAAGTAATATAAACAGTTAATATATTGATAGGTACGTAGGTATCCTCCCTTTTTTTCACCATCATGAATGGTGTGAAAGATTGCACTAATGGCCCCAATTTTTTACCTCTCCCAGTATTGACTCCATTTGTCAAGTAACTTTGTGGTGGTTTTTACTGTAAGTGGAGATTCTTTCTCACCGCCAGATTCTTGAATTGAACATATGCTTGCTCTGTTAATGAAATTTCAGTAGACCTGTTGCAAGAAGAGGCATGCATTTCTGCTGTTACCATGAGAAGAACATGCCCCAGCTGCAGCCAGATCACAGGAAAGGATTAAGAAACATGTGGAACTGAGCTAAACCCAGTCATGTCCGTCTAGATTAGCTGACCTTTCAGCTGTGCCAGGATGTGTGAACGAACAAAGCTGAAGCCAGAGAATCACCAAATGTAACTCAGCCTTGATCAGCCTATCCTCAGGCTTATGATCCTCAGCTTATCTGCATACTTGTGAAAAATGGTAAGTAGTTGCTATTTTAAGCCACTGAATTTTGTGTGGCTGTTACAAAGTTAATTTTCCTGAAATTGGTTAAATTTTCAGAATAGAATTTTTTTTTTCATTTTCTTCAGATATGTCATCTATTCATGAAATATCAGGTTATTGTCTGACATTAGAAGCTCTAGGCATGAAACACATCTGTCAACAGCAAGAATAAGAATAACTCGTTTTATACCACGCGTTCTCACTCATATGTGGAAGCTTAAACTGTTGTGATGTTGTGCTCATAGAAATAGAGAGTAGAGTAGTAGTATTAGAAGCTGGGAAACAGAAGGAGGAGAAGGGAGATGGTGGTTAATGGACACAAAATTACAGCTAGATAGAAGGAATAAGTTCTAGTGTTCTATCGCATTGATGGGTGACTAATAACTTATTATGTATTTTCAAACAACTAGAAGGGAAGAGTTTGAATGTTCCCAACACAAAGAAATGATAAATGTTTGAGGTGATGGATATGCTAACTACCCTGAATTGATCAATACATCTTATATACATGTATCAAAATATCACTGCATACCTCCAAAATATGTACAATTATTATGTCCCAATTTTTATTTTATTTATTATTATTATTATTATTCTTTTGAGACAGGATCTCACTCTGTCGCCCAGGCTGGAGTGCAGTGGCGTGATCTTGGCTCACTGCAACCTCCACCTCCTGGGTTCAAGCGATTCTCCTGCCTCAGCCTCCTGAGTCGCTGGGATTATAGGCGCCTGCCACCAAACCCGGCTAATTTTTGTATTTTTAGTAGAGATGGGGTTTTGCCTTGTTGGCCAGGCTGGTCTTGAACTCCTGACCTCAGGTGATCCACCTGCCTCGGCCTCCCAAAGTGCTGAGATTACAGGCATGAGCCACTGTGCCCAGCCTATCTGTCAATGATTAAAAATAAAAATTAGAAACTAAAAAAAATTGTTAAAGAATAATTTTAACTAGGGAAAATTTGTTAAAATTAGGAAAGTGTAAATCATATTAGTAGAAGAAATTTATGTGGTTAAATTTTAAAATTACATTAAATGAAGAGAGTACATTGGAGCTCTAAGTAAAGAAGATACTGGGTAAATCTGGAGTTGATTTCATTCACTTCTGCTTTATTGAGGATGTGCTTGTAGAAAAACTTCATTCTCTTTATGTTCTACACTCTTAGTTTCAGAAACTTATAGTTTCCTAAATATAGTCTCTTGAATCATTGTTAAATTTTGCATTTTTTTTTTGCTAAAGAGTAAAAGGGAAAAAGAAACCTCAAAATCTTGAGAAATTTATGAACTCCTTGTAAGTATTGATCATGAAACTGTGCAGTCAACTTATGAAAATATGAAACTGTAATACACATGAAAAATGAAATTTCACTTCCATTCTTCCATTATGTTGCTTAACAACATCAAGGCTTTCCATTGAGTATGGGAATTACAAGTGTAAACATTTTTAAGGGGACATAAAGAGGACAATCATTTGGGACTAACACTAGTGATTTCACTTCAAGTTAGTAAGATGGCTGGGTAGTTATACCTGGGAGTAGAACGGAAAACTTTTAGCTTAATGAAAACGCTTCAGTCTATTCTCAAAGAAGCCTATTACCAATGACGTTGGGAAAACAAACTTAACTTGCAAGTTAAACAGGAGAGTCACAAAAAAACTACTACTTAAATAGAGTCCAGAATTGGAAAATAGCAGAAGAAACCAAGCAAAAAGAGCAAGAAATATTGAGGTCCTGGTCCATGGCCATTTGCCTGTTGCCCTGAGGCATCTTAGAGGCAGAGGAGACATCTGATTCTTGCTGATCTGACACATAGAAGGCACAATAAATACAGCAGGGGATGTGCATTCACAAATATCGCTAAAGGAAGGAAGACACCACTCAAAATATTATGGTATTGTTAAACAATTCAAAAGACAGATCTCTAAGAAAAAAAAAGAGAAGCATCCAAATTTTTGAAGTATCAAGCAAAAAGGTAATGCATTTATCATAAAATAAAAATTTGGAGACTGTGGAAGTAGCAGTAATGTTTTAAAAAGAAGAAGCTTAATATTCTGTTCCTTACACAATTGCTCCATCCTGCATGGTTTTGTTATTAATACAACATACACATCAGGGTTGAAGAGATTTATACATACCCCAGAGAAATTGTATAAGTTGTTCTCTGTTTCTCCAATACAGTTGCAAACCCTGAAGCAGCTCAATGTACTGCATATTAATGGGCTTTCAGATATTCTCCAGGAAGTTATTAGAAAAGGGTTGGCAATGAGCTCTGATTACTGTAATCTGATAATCTCCAGTGGAAAGCATTAACAATATGAATTTCGAGAAGTTAACAAATCTCTCAAGACCAGGGGAAATCTGATAGTCCAACACGGGGAAAATAAAAACAATATGTTTTGCGAATTACTCTTCTTGTATTTTGCTTTTGGAGGTCAGATATTTCAGAGGGGACTTTTTAAAGCTGAAAATTAAAATCCAGTAGATTTTATTAAAATAGAGAAGCTTTTATAATATTTTATGAAAATAGAATGTTAAATAGGCAATGGCTAAATGTAACTACAATTTAACTATTACTGAATGTCAAATCAAGTGAGTCAAAACATTGCAAATATTAGGATAAATTTTAGAACCTAATTTAGGACTATAATTCACATGTAAATCAGATTTTAACTCAATTTTAATTCAGTTGTACTTTTTTTCTCGTTTTGCTATTTAAGGAGTTGATAAAGTAGAATGGTAAAAGTTTCTGCTGGTATCTGCTATTTTATCTGCTATACAGAGCTTGAAGATTACTCTTTTTGGGGAAATTTCCCATTTTATGAGGCTCTGCAGAAAGCAAGCTCTTGATTCTCACTAGTAAAGCCAGAGAATCCAAGTGTGTCTCTCTTGTCCCATCTAAGATAGGAAAAAGGCTTAAGAAATAACTTAAAGGACAATTTTTCTTCTCCCTGGAATTTCAAATCTGGTAGGAGTGATGGGAAAACACAAAGAGTTGAGAAATCAGTCACAGATAGAGTATTAAGAGCCCAAGCATAGTGACAGTGGCAAATTCAGCAATAGTGGCATTACTATCAGTTGACTTCCTACCAAATTGTCCTTTTGCTATGACTGTGTCTCTGATATCTTGCATTTCTAGGTTCCTGCCTCTGTTCTGAGCTGAGTATTTTTCTTCCAGTTTCTTTATAGATTCCATGAGATATACAACATCTTTTCTAAGTCTTTGTTCAAAACATCTCAATGAAGATGTAACCTAGTATTATATGTAATACTATAATATGTAACCTAGTATTATAATGTAACCTAGTATTATAATGTCTTGGCCCTCTCCACACACCATACAACTTGCTCTTTAATTTCTCCTCACTGTGTACTATTTTTACAGCAGTTATTAATCTCTAATGTGAAATATAGCATATTTACTATGCTTATTATTTATGGTCCAATTCTACCTCCAGAATGTAGGTGTCATGAAGGCAGAGATCTTTATGTTATTCACTATTGAATCTTAAAGCCTAACACAAGGCCTAGCATATAATACGAGTCAATAGGATTTATAAGATGGACCCATGAATGAATGAATGCTCTCCCTTCTGTAGGACCTTTTCATTAACTACTCCTTTTGGAAAGTTCCTTCCTCATAGTCACTGTTATGGACTGAATGTTTGTGTTACCCCAAAATGCTTATATTGAAATCCCAGCCCTGAATGTGATGATGTTAGGAGGCGGGACCTTTGGGAGGTAATTAGGTTATGAGAATGTAATCCTCATGAATGGGATTAGCGCCCTTATAAAAGGGATCCCAGGGAGTCTCTTGCCCTCTTTCCAGTGTATGAGGATACAATGAGAAGTTGACTGCAACCCAACCAGAAGAGGGCTCTCACCAGAACCCAGTCCTGCGGGCACCCTGATATCAAACTATGAGGAATAAATTTCTTTTTAATTAAGCCACTAAGTATTAGGTATCTTGCTACAGCAGCTTGAATTGACTGAGACAGTCACACAGCAGCTCTTTTTGATCATTTATTATTCAAAACCAAAAAGAAGTCTTTCCTAATAATACAATCTAAGAGCAGTACCAGTCACCTGCTGTCTCACCACTCTATTTTCATGGTTCTTATCACTATTGAGTATTTTTTATTTATCTATTTTGTTTATATATACGGCTTCTCCCTCCCCACCCAATATTATGAGGTTCTGTAGAAAGCAAGCTCTTGATTCCCAAGGGGATTAATATTCACCTTTTAATCCCTAAGAACTAGAATAATGCCTGGCATATATCAGGCACACATAAGGCAAACATCACATTTTCATGAGATATTTGAAGAAATATCCACAAGGTTAGTGTGCCAAGTAAAAGGCATTACAAAAATTATATGTATATATGGTGGATCCAATGCAGAATTTAATAGGTCAAAGTCCCTCAATAGGTATTCTGCCAGTTTAGCAACCAGAAGAATGCTAAACAAGAGGACAGTATATGCTATTCTACTTTTGCTAGATTTCAACCATCATGATTTCTCTAAATTAAAACCTAGCTTTCAGACATGTAGCTAAAACCCATGGAGTGTTGAAACTCTTTATTATTTCCCCATTTCATGGAGTATCTAGTGTTATAGGCAGAGAGAGCAGTTAATGCCAGCCCTAAGGTAAGAGCAGGCCTTGTAAGCTTGAAGAACAGAAAGGATTTCAGTATAAACAGAGGGGTTTGAGTGAGGATAAGAACAGAAATAGATGAGGCAACTTTTTTTCATACTGTTCTCTCCTCTGGTTCCATTTAATTGGCCCGAGGATAAACATCTGAGCCAGAAACAGAGTTTTGTTCTAGGATTTTTCAAACAAGACCTTGTGAGACTTATATTCTCCAATGATGATGCTGTAAGACAGAAGATACAGGAGTTTCAGGCAACTATGTCTGTCTAATGGGAACCATATTGAGGAACATGAAGAAGCTGCACGTCACATATCATAGGCAATCTTATTAACCCAAAGAAATCGGTATTTTCTAGAAAAGTTTCAATCCTCAGTTGAATTCCCTAAAGCCCAGCTGCAACCCTGCCCTTTTAGAGTTTTTTTTTTTCTGATGATAAATTATATCTTTTACCCCTTAGGTTGAAGTAGGGTTTCTGTCACTTTTAACCAAAGAGCTTCACCTCCACCTAAATAGAAAAACAAAAAAGAATAAAATTCAGCTGCTTTGGTTGAGACCTTGATTGTGCCTCAAAGCCCTGTCCATTTGGTGCCTCAAAGCCCTGTCCACTTGTTATATCATCTACTGCTCAGGCTTCACAGGCACCTCCAGATACTCCCTAGACTTCCATTAAAAATAATTTAACATATGTCCTAGGAAGAGTATAAGAAGAATCTAAAGGTCTTATTGACAACTCTTTATGAATCCTCACTAGTCTTCCTTTTCCCTTTTTCATTTACTCCCTTTCTCTCATCTTCCTTAGGTTTGTTTTTTTTTCTTTATCTCGACAGTACGTTCTCCTCCAAATAAATCCAACTCAGTTCTTATTTAACCATATTCTCCATTAATCCCTGACCCCATCAACTGGAAGAAATGTCTCTCTCCTTAGAACCCTTTGGCATTTATCCACTGCTCTTTCTTTGCACTTATCAATCCTGGCCAGTGCTATTTTTATTTAAATGCTGTCTAAATTAATCCATGAATATTTCAAGTAAAGCAATGCAAAAATAAATTGGACCTAGTGACCACAGTATGTCACATCTAATATGTATTCTATAAACATTTGACTGATGAAATATTTATAGAGGATTATCTAAAGGATAAGAAATTAAGTCATTTTAGCTGTAGTTTAGCAGAATTTATCTTTGTGTTAAAGTAGACTATATCAAAAAGCTTCACAGTTAGATTAAACTCACAGAAACTATTTTACTGTGTAACTTTGGAAAATATCAAATTTTTCAAATAATATAAAGCCACATTTAGCCGGATACTCTGCCAAGCATGCAGAGTAAAGAAAGTTATTTCTTCTAAAGTGTAGAAATTGTGGGAAAGGGAGAGGAGGGGAGGGAGAAAGAGGGAGGAAAAATGTTCACTTTCTATGTATTTATCTTCATTTTCATTTTTCCAATAAGAATTTTCTTAAAAATAAAAAAATAGTTGTAGGAAACTCATTTTATTTACTGCATGGATATTGGGATATGTTATCCTTTTCATAATGACAAATATGTGAAATTTATCTCTAGTGTAAGTACCTACAAGCTTCAACATCAGCCTTATTTCTCCTGAGAAACATTATTTTTTCTCTTAGGAATTGTGAATTACATAATATCTACAACATACTAGTGTTTTGATTTCTTCACTTAGTCCATCAACTACTCTGAAGGGTGTTCTTCATGTTCCTCCATCTACAAGAGGAGTATTAATTTCATGTTTAGGTGAGATAAAGATTACATGAAATTATGAAAAGTACTTTTCCCAGTGCACAGCTCAGAGTAAGAGCTTAAAAGTTAGAAGGCTTTATCATTTTGTCATTTTTATAACATCTACGATCATTATAACTTTAAAGGCTAAAATGTTTGGCACTGTGTTACGCTGTTTTCTTCTCCAGTATTTTTTGGTGCATAAGATCTAGAAATTTCAAAATCTATTTTAGTCATTTTTTAATATTATAGGAGTTGTGCATGGATAAGTTTCTTTTTCAAATAGTATCAGAAGGTCAGGAAAATGATAAACTATTCTCTCAATAAACCTTAAGTTTTAGGCAGCATTTGTTAGCAACTTTTGTTTTTAGTTGTTTTGATAATTACCACAAGGGGAACATACATTCATATTACTAATTTTTAATTACGAATTGTAGTCTGCCTCGTTTCCTTTCAGTTTTTAACAAAAATGCTGTGTGTAACATTCTGTTAAATTATATGTGATGCTAGTTGCATACATCAGAAGGAGGAAAAGTGGTATATTGTATGATAACATGTGAAGTCAATTGGCATGTTTAACGGGCAGAGGAAGAATGGGGAATAAGGACATATGCAGCATGATGTCCATCTTATATAGACTCTCATTAACAAAATACTATTTGGAGATCTACTTATTTCATTAGGTCTAAGACTATCTTAGTGATGGAACAGAATTACACTTCAGGAAGTCCAGTCTTTGCCAACTTATTCTGTTTTAACAGTATCATGGGGACTTATGGTAGTTGAAGCCATCCGAAAGTTTGGTTTTCTTTTTACAATGGTGAGTCTTTATCAGTAGACTGTAGTCTTTCCTTCCCATGTGAGCTCTATGAAGACATTGCCTTGTCCATGTTGTGTCTCCAGCACCTAGTACAGTGTCTCAATGAAAATCTGTTGAAGGGATCAATGTTTTGCTTTTAGCATTGACTGATAAATTTGCTGCTAAATTGTGATCTTTATTGTCATAAGTGTTCAGGAGCTCATGACGTTTTCATTTGGTATATGCATCTGCCTCAGAAATTTCTCTACCTTTGCTTTCCCATTTTTGAAATTTCTTTACATCCATCATTTTGAACATTTTGTGTACTGCTTTTTATATATTTTTAGATATTATTTAAAATATATTATTAAGTAATCTTAAATAATGTTCAGTTCAATATTAGGTAGAACTGGCTGGGCACAGTGGCTCACGCCTATAATCCCAGCAATTTAGGAGGCTGAGGCAGGTGGATAACTTGAGGTCAGGAGTTCAATACCAGCCTGGCCAACATGGTGAAATCCCATCTCTACTAAAAATACAAACATTAGCCGGTCATGGTGGTGTGCGCCTGTAATCACAGCTACTCAGGAGGCTGAGGTGGGAGAATCTCTTGAAACCGGGGAGTTGGAAGTTGCAGGGAGCAGAGATAGTGCCACTGCATTCCAGTCTGGGCAACAGAGCTAGACTCTGTCTCAAATCTATATATGAAGGTTATATGAACAGAAAGGGAAGTACTAGTGAAGGATGCAGAGGAGTGAAAGGGGTGAAAAGCAAGGGCCATATTCCCCACTAGTTGATTAGGTAGTAGCCAGACTGCCCCCGGTTGTAAATCCCTTATGATGTGAAGTTCCTAAGGTAGAAGAGGAGACAAAGCAGTTCTGGCTAAGTTATTACTCGCTTGTTATAAGTGACCAAATGTAAGACGATTGAGAAATAATCATTCTTATCAGATTTGATTTAGTTCTAGTTATTTGAGGCTTTAAGATAGCAAAATTCTTGAATCAAAGCAAGTGGACATGATGCAACTTGGAAATTCAACAAAACATCTACTTTATTCATAAGATTTCTACAACCCTAGACTTGCCAACATACAACTGTGACCTTTCTTTTTAGCATTTCTGAATCCCTACATTCACTATCTCAGAAAGCGAAATGAATACGTCCATTTCATTATGAGTTTGAAGTACACAGAAGATGGGTTTCCTGTCATTGAAATACATGATCCTTTTTATAGTCCAGTTCCTCTTTCTCCCTTTATCTACTTATGTTGCTGATAAAGATTAAAGGCTATCTCTTGCTGTCTATTGTTTCTTCTTCATTTTAAGAATAGAACATACTAAGTGTTAGATGAGAATATGTCCTCCCAGCTACACTTTTCATTCTCCCATGAAGAAAGATATGGCCACAGGATGCTAACAGAAACATGTGTCACTTCCCAATCATCCACTTAAAGATGTCTGCCCTGTATTTTCTCTGCCTCTGTTGCCACTGGCTAGGAAATGGTGACAATCAGAACAATCTAGGGGAGCCTTATGGTGACAATGATGCAGCTGCTTCATATTCCTGGTTCACTTGCCACTCTCAGTATTAAATGAGAGATTTGAAAAAAAAAATCTACCTTACTTAAGATATGATATTAACTAAGCTACTATAACATAAAGACTGCAGCAACATTAATTCTCGTGTTCTTATGTTAACTGCAAATGAAATCACATTTGATTCTTATGTCTTATTGATATATTTATTTTAATTACCTGCAAGACCTAATTACCCAAAGTAGCAGTAAAGCGAAAACTCTATAAAGGTTTTCTCAAACTCTGTGAAGTGTATCAGACCCTGTGAGGTGTACCCAGCCCAAAGGAAACATTTCATTAGCAAGTGCATACCAAAAGAGATATACCAGGTTTTATGTTGGACCTCATTAAAATATTTGAATTAGTGGGTCACTATGGTTAATATATTTGAGGAAAAAGAGTCACTTTCACCTCCTTGGTAGGAGTATATTTGGGAATTTTGTATCTACAAAAATTAAAAATATGTAAACTGTTTGTTCCAGAAATTTTGACTCTAGTAATTTAGTATAGGAATATACTCAATGAATTATGCTAAGATATAAATTTCTTACAGTGCTGTTTAGAAGACAAAAATAACTAAAATCTGAACCAAACTGGAAACAACCCAAATTCTCTTAAAAAAAGTTGATTTTATAAATTATAATTCATCCATACATTGATATTCTTAGCAGTCATTTAAAATCTATTTAAAAAGTTAAATAGATTTCATTCTACAGACCAGTAACTGACAAAAGCAAGTTGCCAAAAATATAACATAATCATACTTTATTTTACTACATATTCAAAGAAGTCTTAAAATACAAGGGATCAATATTATTTATAAAATTTTACACCTTAACCAACCTTTCTCTTTTCTTGATCCTATTATTATTAGAAAAAAAATAAAAATAAGAAATGTTTCTTTCATCACAATAAGAAAGAGCCAAAAGAAACTTCTGGGACGTAATGATAAATCATATTCTAATTCTTTCTTTCTTCCCTCACTAATGTTTTATATGACTTAAAACCAGAAGGGGCAATTGCAAGATAGTAAAACCATTTATTTAACATTCCAACTTCACTATTATTGTTGCCTTATCAACTTTTCTTTATGTTGCTTTATAATAGTTATCACAGCCTGAACTTATTCATTGTTTCCATTTGTTTCTTTGTGTCTTCGTTATTGTCTGTTTACTCTGTCCTCCAAAAACTTGCTGAAGTGTAAGTTGCATGAGGCCGGAGCTTTGTTTTTTCTGTTGTTTAGTATATTATCTTAACGTCAAAGAGCAATATCCTTTATGAATGAGTGAATCAATAAATATTTATTAATTGAAAGAATAAATACTTTTCCAAATTAATGAATTATAAACTTGGAGTTTGTACCTCTTCTCTTGTATTGTCACCCTAGTCGTGACAATCATATTAAGATCTAGTCTAATATTTTACCAAAAAATGTGTGCAAAAGTTGTTCAAAAATCATAAAAGTACAATTAATTTTTATTAAATCAGAGAATATGTTTTTTTCATTATTTGTATTTAAAGACATGTATACCTTTTATTCTAACAATACATTCAGCAAATTTAGCATTATACCAGTGACTGGCTTCAATTAAAATACAAGTTTCAATACGTGTTTGGTCTGTATAATTTGGGGAAAGAGTTTCTGGAGTGGTGTTTTGTCTTGTTCTAACTGAAAAATAATTCTGCATAAAAATTATTTGCTTGCATACTGAACATGTTGAAGTTTTTCAGATTGGGTACTTAACCCAAAAATTGAATGTGTGCTGGGGCATTACCTTGCACTTTCTTCTGTGAGCCTCATAGTAACTTTGATTTCGTTGTTAGGGTAAGAAAAAAAAATGGAAATAAGTCAAGGACTCTTTGTGTTGGGAAAAAGAATCATTCCTGTAATTTCACAAAAGTTGGTGCTTTCTTATGAAGATGATGTGATTAAAATAGAAAGATGATTGAATATGTCTTGGGAAATAAAGTGGGTTGGTGTGTTAAATATTCTTTTGAGTGCCTTTTAAAAGTGAAAAGGTACTTAAAAAATAAAATATAGTACTTTGAAAATAAGAATGTAACTTATAAGAAAGATGCTTAACCTTGGATTCAATAATTACTTTTGAAGATTTGCTATTCATTTGAAGAAGTCTGTCTATTATATAACACATCAATGAAAGAGAAGAATAAAAACCACTTGTGATTTGTTTGTGTGTTTAGACCATGATGTAAATTGATCCAACAAATTAAGCATCACATTTGGATCTATCTATTACTGTGGGTCCAAAGTACAGTAATTGAATATTACCAAAATTTGTATCCCTCAAGAAAAACTACTTGGCTCTAAAACTCTATTTAACACAAATATGTAATAAAATCTAGAAACATTTAAAAATACTTGAAAGAATAGCATACTCATTTTAAATATTGACTTTTTTTCTTATTTGCACAGCACCATTGTCTAAGCTGGATAGCTGAGAAATACTGACTATAGAAAGATTTTTATGATTGACCAAATGGTAGGTTTTTCTATCAACTCTATCTAGCATTGTGTTCAGGGCTCTCCTTTAATAGGTGGTTGTATGATTGATGCCCATAAAATCTAAGTAACAATAGAAAGTCTTCTCTGGAAAAAAAAAATCAACTTATGATTAACCGAAGATCAAGAATATAGGCAAAGAAGCTGTGGAGATGGATGGTGAAGGCAAGTTATCACCCTTTCCTCTGGATTTGGTGGCCAGATATCTTTGCCAGGAGGTAGTAACATCTCATCAATGATTTATAATTAAAAAAGCTAATTGAAGGAAGAAATTTTAAATGTCAACAATATGCTGTATGCAGTTTGTAGCAGTCACAGAACCACAGCCCTTCAATCTCTCATCAAGGAATATCTTGCTCTCCACCTGCAAGGAGTGTAATTACCTACTGCCTCCAGCTCTTGGAACCTTCAAGATTCACCTCAGCTTTTCTGATGGAACTAAAATCTTTCTGGACAGTCCCCAGGCAATAACTGAGCATGTCAGTGATAACAGGTCCAATCTCATTCAACTCAATATAGGACCTCTCTGCCTGGCATTCCTTATTGTTCACAAATGGACTGGCCAAGACGTTGCCATATCTGCATCAGAGTTGGAGCCTTCCCATGCCCAATCCTGCTTTCCCTTCCCATTCTTTTCACAGATGTCAGATCTATATCATGGTCTGAAGACTTTCCCTATTTAATCCTACTTTCTCTCCCGTTTGTCTTTCATAAGCATTGCCTGTCCCAGTGAACCTTGCACTCTTAATTTAGAAACAGATCTCATTATCTGTTTCTCACTTTAAAAATGTAAATTTGCATACATGTAATTTTCTTTGAGGCCATTGCATACTGTGCTGGTTAATTAAGTAAAAAGCTTGATCACCTGAAAGCTATGTCCTTTTTGCCTTGCCACAAGGCTCCAGGCAGTTACTGTATGTTATTGGCTAGTATTTGGGCTTTAAACATCTATACAGTGATGTAGTATTCAAACATTTGAGCTGTTCTCTGTCATTTGTACCCCACGTAGCCTAAATCAGTGGTTACCTCTCCTGGCTTCTAGCAGAATCACTTGGATGACTTTTTCAAAAGACTGATGCCAAAACTCCAGGTCAGGTTACAGTCAGGCTTGCGAAGCAGTAACATATACTCAATGTTGAGAAAATAGATTCCTTTGTCCTTATTTCCAAAGTCCACATTGTGATCCCAGCCCTAGAGTTTCACCACCTTCTAACACTAAGATCCATGGAAAGGCAAACACAGAAGAAAGCATTTGCTTCCATCTTTGTTCATTTATACTGTCCTGAATAAAAACTTCACATTCTCTAACTGAGACTTGATTTTGGTATTCCCAATTTGTACATTCTTGACCCATATCAGAAGTTCCAATAAGTAGAGACCTTAAGCTCCTCCAGAGGGGAAACTATGCCACTAATAATGCTGATCAGAAGCCAGGAAACATAACATAACCTTTGGAAAAATTGATTTCTCCAAATCATCATAGACTTTTCTTGTTATTAAAGAGCTAAAAAACAGAACTGTTTTTTTCTTGTTGTGTTTACATCACTCATGATGTTGTGTTTAATTCTCAGTCTTTCCTTTTATTTGGTTTTGTTTTTCTATTTTTAGTTTACACTTGTGCTTTCATAAGTTAACTCTCTGTTGCCCAGGCTGGAGCGCAGTTGCACGCACATGGCTGACTACTGCCTCGACCTCCCAGGCTCGAGCAATCCTCCCACCTTAACCTTCCAAATAGGTGGAACTACAGGCACTGGCCACCATGCCCGGCTAATTTTTGTATGTCCTCAAGCCACTTTTAATTAAACAATAATAAATTGAAAAGACAAGGTGTGACTGCCAGCACAAATTAAGATGACCTAGTATTCAGAATCTCTCCTCAAGCCATCGCCTCCAGGGAGGCCTGCCTTAGCTTTGCTTACTACTTATTAATGTACCCATTAATATCAGCACATTTACAGACTTAATGACACCACAATGCTTGTGTAGTTTAATTACAAGCAAGAAATCTGTGTCTTAATACATAAAAGACATTTATAGCAATGGATGATAATGGATGTTTATTAGCATATCAACAATTAAAAATTATTTGCCACTTACTCTTTCTTCAAGTTTATAAGGTATAATTTCCATGCTAATTTTATATTAGAAAGAAGAGTTGACAAACTGCTATTAGAATACAGGGATTATAGTGATTGTTCTATTTTATTAATGCAATTTTATTAAACAATAATGCAGTGAAAAGGAATAATTTAAGAGGGACTAAAGCAGGCATTTTTACAAAACATACTGCCTCTGCAATTTTTGCATAGTTTTGATATAATGAAACATCACACAAACATAAATATGAGAAATAAACTTCAGAGGAAATAAATATCTACCTCCAGCTATTACATTTCATTTAGATGGATTAGTTGAGTATGGTATATTAAACAGATACACAATTTCCTATCTCTAGAGATTCAATATGGTTTTCTGACAATTTATATTTGATTAACAGTAATACCAACTACAGAGATTTAATTGGCATTTTATTGAGCCAAAGTAAGTAATATTTTTTGTAAAATGCTGCAAGTATTTTTTTCACCTAATGAATACAAGCCCCAAAATACTGCCGACTTATTGGTAGCTAAATTCGTTTGACTTAATACACCACTTGCTGTGTAAGCAATAACTTGTTCAGCTAGGCCCAAGTTAAGATGTAGGATAAAAATCACAGAGAACAGTGAATGGACTGAAACAGAATGCAGGCTTTCTGTTTTTGGCCCAAACAGTATTTTTAAATAATTGTAATTAGCTAATTTAAAAGCTGATAAATTTCACATTAAAGTCATCCAGAATCTGGCTTTTCTTGAAAAAGCAAAATATTTCCAAATGCTACTCCCACATTCACCCAAGGAAACAGAATGAAGCCAATCATACCTATTTTTTTTCCAAAATGATAAAACAAGGTATTCTGTTTATAGAGTCAGAAAAGATTTATAGAGAGGCCAGGTGTCTGCTTAAGGAAAAATCCATCCAAAATATGGCAAACAATTGTGCTATTTCTAACAAAAATATTTTGCTTCCTTGAAGAATTTTTGTTTGGATGCCTGCAGCCATTTATCTTATCCTGCCTCCTTTTCTCTGGCAGCTAGCAAACACAAAGTCAAGATGAGCTTCTGAAATTCTGCCCAAATCTGCTCTTCTCAAATTCTTTCCTAAACCAATAAACAGCATTGTTTTTCTTCTGGCTGCTTAAATGACAAACTTAGGGTCATTTTGGATACTCTTTTTCTATCATGATTTTTTTTTGTTAATTTTAATAATATATTGACAGTTGTACATATTATGGAGTACCAAGTGTTGTTACAATTTTTTAACAAAATTTGGAATAATTAAAGTGATTAACATATCTAACACATCAAAGTTTAGCTCTTTTTGTGATGAGAATATTAGAAATTTGCTGTCTTAGTGATATTGAATTGTACCATAATCAATTATTAGCTATATTCAACACGCTATGCTATAGATGTAAAAAGAAAAATCAAACTTATCCCTCCTTTCTAAATGAGGCTTTGTACTTTTTGATGATCATCTCTCCATTCTCTCCACCTCTAAGCCTCTGATAACCACCTGATATGGTTTGGCTGTGTCCCCACCCAAATCTCATCTTGAATTGTAGCACCCATAATTCCCACATGTCATGGGAGGGATCTGGTGGGAGGTAATCGAATCACAGGGGTGGGTCTTTCCCTTGCTGTTCTCATGATACTGACTAAGTTTCATGAGATCTGATGCTTTTATAAAAGGGAATTCCTCTACACTAGCTTTTTGCCTGCCACCATGTAAGACATGACTTTGTCCCTCATTTGCCTTCCAACATGGTTGTGAGGCTTCCCCAGCCATGTGGAACTGTGAGTCAATTAAACTTCTTTCCTTTATAAATTATCCAGTCTTAGGTATGTCTTTATTAGCAGCATGAGAGCAAACTAATACACCATCATTCTATTCTCTGCTTTTATGGGTTCAGTTGGTTTAGATTCCACATGTAAATGACAATGTGCATTATTTGTCTTTCTGTGTTTTGCTCATTTCACTTAGCATAATGTTCTTGAATTTCAACCATATTGTATAAATTATAGAATTTCTCCTTTTTAAAGGCTGAATAGTATTCTGTGGTATATATATGCCACATTTTCTTTATCAATTCATCTCTCGATGGAAACTTAGGTTGATTTGATAACTTGGCAACTGTGAATAGCACTGCAATGAACATGGGAGTGCAGACATTCCTTCAACATGGTGATTTCAAATCTTTGGGGTAAATGTCCAGAATGGGATTGCTGGTTGATATGGTAATTCTATGTCTAGTATTTTGAACTGTATTCCATAATAACTTTAGTAACTTGCATTCCCACCAAGAGTAAGGGCTGCATTTTCACTATATCCTTGCCAACACCCACTGTCTTTCACCTTTTTGATTATAGCCATTATAATAATGTGAGATGGTATCTCATTGTGGTTCTAATTTGCATCTCCCTAAGGATTAGTGAGATTAAGCATTATTTCATGTATCTGTTAGCCACTCTGTTGTTTAATTTCCATGTATGTTTTAATTTTCTGAAGTTTCTGGTTTTATTGATTTCTAGTTTTATAATACTGTAGTTAAAAAAGGTATTTGATATAATTTACATTTTCTTAAATTTGCTAAGATTTGTCTCATGGTATAATAAATATAATCTATCCTGAGGAGTGTGGCATGTGCACTTAAGAAGAATGTGTATGCTGTTGCTTTTGAATAGGATGCTCTATATATGTCTATTAGTTCCATTTGTTCTAATGGCTGGAAGTGTTTTGCCTACAGCATTTTGAATACATCATTCCACTCTTTCCTGAATTACAGGGTTTTTGCTGGGAAGTCCATTGATAGTGGTATTGGTACTCTTTTGTGTGATGTATTTCTTCTTTCTCTTTGCTCTCAGAATTTCCCTTTGTCTTTGCTCTTTAAGAGTTTGATCATTATGTGTGGTGAGCTTCCTTAGGGTGAATTTGACTGAAGATCTCTGAACTTTCTGTGCCTGGGTGTTGTCTTATTTCCTCAAATTAGGGAAGTTTTCAGCCATTATTTCTTTAAATATCTTTTTAGAACTTTTTTTTCTTCTTTAACTCCTATTAAGTGTAGGTTAGGTGTCTTGATTGTGTCCCATAATTCCTGTAAGCTTTCTTCATTCTTTTTCATTCTTTCTTCTTGTTGTTGCTCTGATTGGGTGATTTCAAATATTCTGTCTTCAAGCTTATTGATTATTTCCTTTTATGTTCTAGTTTGATTTTAATTAACAAATAATAATTGTACATATATAGAGGGATCACTGTGATGTTTTGATACTTGTGCACATTGTGTAAATATTAAATGAGGATATTTAGTAGAAACATTACCTCAAACATTTATCATTTCCTTGTGGTGAGAACATTCAAAACCCTTTCTTCTAGTTATCTTGAAATATATAATACAATATTGTTAACTCTAGTCACCTTTCTGGGCAATAAAACAGCAGAACTTCTTCCTCCTATGTAACTGTAATTTTGTACCTGTTCACTAATCTCTTTCCATCTGCCCTTCCCCCTACAATCTCCAGCCTCTGGTAACTACCATTCTACTCTGTACTTCCAGGAGATCATCTTTTTTAGATTCCACAAATGAGCGGATTCATGCAGTATTTGTCTTTGTTGGCTGGTTTATTCCACTTAATGTAACGTCTTCCAGGTTTATCCATGTTGCCACGAATAACAGTGTTGCAACTTTTTTTGCTCCCATAGCTCGGCAAGTAGGAGGGAGTGGTGCCCAGCAGCTTCTTCACTCTGGCAGCTCAGTGAGCAGGAGAGCATTTTACAGCTCTCTCACCACCCGCAGCTTGGCAAGCGGGAGTGTTACAGTTCTTTCACTCCCACAGTTTGGCGAGTTCTAGGTTCTTGTCACGCAACCAAGAGGAATAAGGTACTTGGACACCAGAGAGTGAGTAAGGCAGAGTAGAATTTTATTGAGAGACAGAAGGAAAGCTCTCAGCAGCAAGACAGGGTTTGAAATTGTATTCCCATCTGTGAGGCTGAGTCCAGTGTTTTCATGGGCTTAGAATAGGGGAATGTGTTCTGATTGGTCTATGGGTGGGCTTGGAAAAGGTACCATTTGATTGGTTAAAAGGCATGATTCACAAGGAACCAATAGAGAGAAAGTTGGTGAGACGGGGTTGGAAGTTCTCACTCCAGTCGTGGATTCTATCCAAAACTTGCAGCTTGGTTTTCAGGCTTTCGACTGTCCTTGGCCTGAAGGTCGAGCTTCACCAGGGACCCATCCCTGTCTGCCTAGGAATTTGTCTGTCTCCTGTCGCTATCAACATGATTTTATTTTTTATGGCTAAATAGTATTTTATTGTATATACATACAATATTTTCTTTATTGATTTATCCATTGATGAACCTATAGGTTGATCCTGTATCTTGGCTGTTGTGAATAGTACTGCCATAAACATGGGAGTCCAGATAGCCCTTCAACATACTGATTTTCTTACTTTTGTATGAATATCCCCTAGTGAGATTGCCGGATCATTTGGTAGTTCTACTTTTATTTTTTGAGAAACCTCCATACCTTTTCTATAATGCTGGTATTAGTTTACATTCCCACCAACAATGTATAAAGGTTCCAATATCTGTAAATGTAAATCAGCCTTTTTTTTCCTTGTCTTTTTGATGGTACCCATTGTAATTGGGGTGAGGTAATATCTCATTGTGGTTTTGATTTGCATTTCTGTGATGATTAGCAATGTTGATCCTTTTTTCATATACCTGTTGGCCATTTGTATGTTTTCTTTTGAGAAATGTCCATTCAGGACTTTTGTTTATGTTCTAATTGGATTATTTGGTTTTGGGCTATTAAGTTGTTTGAGTCTCTCATATATTCTGGACATGAACTGCTTGTCAGATGCATAGTTTGCTCATATTTTCTCCCATTCTATAGGTTGTCTCTTTACTGTTTATTCCTTTATTGTGCAAAAGCTATTTAGTTTGATATAATCCCACTTGTCTATTTTGCCTTAGTTGCTTATGCTTTTGTTTTCTTATCTTAAAAAATCCTTGCCCAGAACAATGTAATGAAGATTTTACCCTATGTTTTCTTTTAGTAGTTTTATAGTTTCAAATCTTACATTTAAGTCTTTACTCCATTTTGAGTTGATTTTTTAATACACTGAGAGATAGGAACCTAGCTTCATTCTGCATGGGGATATCAAGCTTCTTGCCATCATTTATTGAAGAGACTGTTCTTTCCTTAACATATGTTGTTGGGGCATTTGTCAAAATCAGTTGGCTATAACTGTGTGGATTTATTTCTGTGTTGTCTATCTGTTCCATTTGTCTATGTGTCTATTTTTATGCCAATACCATGTTGTTTGGTAGCTATAGCTTTAGCTGTAGCTTTGCCGTATGTTTTGAAGTCAGATAGTATGATGTCCCAGCTTTGTTCTTTTTGCTCAAGATGGCTTTGGCTATTCAGGGTCTTTTGTAATTCCACACATTGATTTTCTTTATTATTTTATATTTGAGAACAGTGTTATTGGTACTTTGATAGGGATTACCATGAATCTATAAATTGCTTTAGTATATATTTTAGCAATATTAATTCTTCCAATTCATGAACACAGATTATCCTTTTAGTTTTGTCTTTTTCAACTTATTTTATCAATGTTTTATAATTTTTATTGTAAATTTTTTTTTCCTTCTCAGTTAAATTTATTAGGTTTTTAAATTTTGTTTGTTGCTATCGTAAATTGGATTGCTTTCTTGATTTCTTTTTCAGATAGGTTGCTATTGATATATAGAAATGACACTGATTTTTATGTTGATTTTGTACCCTAAAACTACACTAAATTTATTTGTTAGTTCTAACAGTTTTTTAGTGGGGTCTTTAGAATTTTCTACATATGAATACAATATCATGCTATCTGCAAACAAGGAAAATTTGACTTTCTCCTTTCCAATTTGGATGCCTTTATTTCTTTCCCTTTCCTAATTACTTTGTCTAGAACTTCCAGTGCTATAATGAATAGGAGGGTGTGTGTGTTGGGGGGCTGGTGAAGTGGGAATCCTTGTCTTGTCCAGATCTTAGCAGAAATGTTTTCAACTCCTCCTTATCTAGTATGATATTATATATGGCTTTGCCATATATGGCCTTTATTGTATTGAGGTATGTTCCTTTTTTTTGTTTTTTTTTTTTTTGAGACGGAGTCTCGCTCTGTCGCCCAGGCTGGAGTGCAGTAGCGTGATCTCAGCTCATTGCAAGCTCCGCCTCCCGGGTTCACGCCATTCTCCTGCCTCAGCCTCCCAAGTAGCTGGGACTACAGGGGCCGGCCACCATGCCCAGCTAATTTTTTCTATTTTTTAGTAGAGACGAGGGTTTCACCATATTAGCCAGGATGGTCTCGATCTCCTGACCTCGTGATCCGCCCGCCTCGGCCTCCCAAAGTGCTGGGATTACAGGTGTGAGCCACTGCGCCCGGCCGAGGTATGTTCCTTTTATACCTAATCTGTTGAGATTTTTTATCATAAAAGATTTATAAAATCCTTTTTCTGTGTTTATTGAAGTGATCACACAGTTTTTGTCCTTGATTCTGTTTATGTGATATGTCATGTTTATTGATTTGCGTATATAAAATTGAATCATCTTTGTGTCCCTGCGATAAATCCTGCTGGATCATGGTAAATTATCTTTTATATGTATTGCTGAATTTGGTTTGCTAGTATTTTGTTGAGGTCTGTGGTTTTCTGTTTTTGTTGTGTCCTTGTCTGGTTTTGGTATCAGGGTGATGTTGGCTTAGCAGAATGAGTTTAGAAGAATTCCTTTCTCTTCAATTTTTTGGAATAATTATCAAAGTATTGTTATAAGTTCTTTAAATGTTTGGTGAAATTTAGCAGTAAGGTGAAGAAAAGCCCTTGAGGTCCTGGACTTTTCTTTGATAGGAGATTTTTTATTACTGATTAGATGTCATTACTCATTATTGATCTATTCATATTTTCTATTTATTAAAGACTTAATTTTGGTAGGTTTTACGTGTCCAGGAATTTATTTATTTTTTCTAAGTTTGGCTCTTTATTGGTGTATAGTTGTTCATTCTATTCTTTTATGATCCTTTATATTTCTGTGATGTCAATGTAACATTTCCTTCTCCATCTATAATTTTGCTTATTTTAATCTTTCTCTTTTCTTCTTGGTCTTGCCAAAAGTTTGCCTATTTTGTTTATGTTTTTTAAAAAACAACTTTATGTCTCATAGACCTTTTGTATATCTTCTTTTCTTTCATTTTTCTTGTTTACCTTTGTAGCTTGACAGTTTTCTGTAGTAATGACATTTGATTCATTTTCATTTGTGTATCTGCTGTAATTTTTTAGTGTGTGCACATGTGTGGTTGCTCTGGGGCTTACATTAAATATTATGGCTATAAAAATGTATTTTCGTTGATAGCAACTTAACACTGGTCATTGACAAACATTCTAGACTTCTACCCTAGCCCTCATACAATTTGAATTTTTTTGCCTTACTTTACATATTTTATATTGTATATTCCTTAACAACATATTGTAGTTATTGTTAGCATTGTCCACTTTGATTTTTAACTTTCACACTACACATTTGAAAGATTATATACCACCATTAGAATAATGCAGTAGTCTGAATTTGATTATGAGTTTACCTCTACCAATGAGTTTTATACTTTTATATGGTTTATGGTAGTAATTAACATCCTTTTACTTCCAGCTGAAGCACTCCCTTAGCATTTCTTATAAGACTGGTCTTGTGATGATAAATTTCCTCAGGTTTTACTTGTCTGGGAAATATTTTATTACTCCTTCATTTTTTAAGGTTAGCTTTGGTGGGTATAGCATTCTTGGTGGATTCTTTTTTTATTTTTTTTCTTTGAGCACTTTGAATATATCAGCCCATTCTTTTCTGGCCTGAAAGATTTCTGCTAAAAAATCTGCTGATAGTTTAATGATAGTTTTCTTATATGTGACCAGGCACTGTTGGTGCTTTTAGAATTCTCTCTTTGTCTTTGACTTTTCACAGTTTGATTATAATGTGACTTGAAGAGGACATCTTTTGGTTGAATCTAATTGAGGTTCTTTGAATTTCTCAGATCTGAATGTACTTATATCTCCCAAGACTTGTGAAGTTTTCATCTATTATTTCATTAAGTAAGCTTTCTGTACTTTTCTTTATTTCTTCTCCCTCTGGTATTCCCACAATGCAAAAATTTGTTTGTTAATGGCGTTGCACACACCTTGTAGGCTTTTTTACTTTTTAAAATTCTTTTTTCCCCTTTGATTGGGTTATTTCAAAAGACCTGTCTTTAAGTTCAGAATTTCTGTCTTCTTCCTGATCTTATCTGCTGCTGAAGCTCTCAGTTGTATTTTTTATTTCATTCATTGAAGTCTTCAATTTTAAGATTTTTGTTTGACTTTTTAAATGATCTCTATTTGTTGAATTGTCTATTTGTATTTTCTTGTATCTCACTGAATTTCCATAAGATTATTATCTTGCCGTCATTTTCAGGCAATTTGTAAATTTTCCCTTCTTTATGATTAATTACCTGAACATAATTGTGCTCCCTTGTTGGCATCATGTTTCCTTGTTTTTTCATATTTTGTGTGTCCCTGCATTGATACCCATGTATTTTGTGGAGCAATTACCTCTTCCAATATTGGAAAATGGTCATTTAGGGAAACTTTTTCACCTGCAAATGTGTCCTAGGGTGTTGGTTGGATTTGATGCATTAGATTTGGTTCTAAGTAGGTGCAACAGGGTAGTCAATGAAGTTTCTTCAGCTGTAGTCAATGTCAGTGATGCTTGTGAATGTCTCAGTGGCCTAGACTGCAGGAGTTTGTGCAGCCGCTCCAACAGGTCAGGTGCACCTCTCTGCTGAGGGTGGGTGTACCAGGTTGTTTTGTGTGCCTTGTGTTCATGGGGGCTACTTTTTTGGGATCTGGCATGGTCTCCCACTGGGGTCAGGGTGCTGGGCTGTTCCAGGTGCCACAGGTGTACAGGGACTGCTCCACTAGGGTCAGGTGCAGCCTCCCCACTGGGCAAGATTTCCTGTTCTTTTGGGGGCCAGGGAGCCACTTAGAGTCTGGTACCAGGATTATGGCTGTTCCACTTGGCCTAAGCTTTCTGTAGCCAAATCTGCAGAAAGCCAAATCATTGCAGCCACTGAGATGAGAACAATGGAGTGCCTCCTGGGAGATTATTACCAGGGATAAAAGGCTGTAGCTGCTTAGCTGCAGAATGATGTGCTATTATGCAGGTGAGTAGCGTAGTGGCAGTGGAGCCTCAGGGATGAGGACATGCAATGCCTATTGGCTCCTAGAGCAGTGGCTCTGGTCTCCAGATTTTACCTTAAAGTAGCTGCTTGGATCATGGACATACACAATATGGGGTTTTTTTGGGGGTAATGCAGCCATGTGAACTTCAGTCAGTTCGCTAGCCTGGGCTCAGAGCCTGTGAGTGCTTAAGAGTTCTCTAGCAGCAAAGACTGTAAGTGTTTGCATTTTTAATGATACCTTCTGGGGTCTCCTGCTTAACTTTTTCTCTCAAAAGAAGTCCCTCCTGGTTCCAACTTGATGCTAACTGGGGAGACAGGGTTGCAAAGGCAGGGTGTTTTGTTCTATTTTTTTATTTTTTGAGACAGAGTCTCGTTCTGTTGCCCAGGCTGGAGTTCAATGGTGCAATCTCGGCTCACTGCAACCTCTGCCTCCTGGGTTCAAGCGATTCTCCTGCCTCAGCCTCCTGAGTAGCTGGGATTACAGACGTGCACCACCACTGCCGGCTAAGTTTTTATTTTTAGTAGAGATGGGGTTTCACCATGTTGTTCAAGCTGGTCCTGAATTCCTGACCTCGATCCACCAGCCTTGGCCTCCCAAAGTGCTTGGATTACAGGCGTGAGCCACCACGCCCGGCCTGTTCTATTTTTTTATGTGGCAATCCTGAGTTCCCTGATTTACAGTGACTCTACCACTCTTCCACTGAACACCAGCACTCTCCTTTAAATACTGTAGTTGAAATATGGTTGTTTATTGCTTGTTTTGGTCCTTTTGTTGTGAGGGACATAGGTGTTAGGCACCTCTAATCAGCAACCTTGCTGACTTCCTTCACCAATTCTTTTTTCAATTTGGTTGAGCTAGCTATTAAAAGTATTTATTCTTTTCTTCAATTCAGTAATTGCATTCTTCATCTCTAAGATTTCTGAGGTTTTTAAAATATTTCTATTTCTTCGTCAAACTTCTCATTTTGTTTATATATGGTTTTTCAAATTTTTAAAAATTTTGTATCTGTATATTAATGGAGTTCTCTGAACTTTTTAAAGAGGATTATTCTAAATTCTTTTTCTGTCATTTTATAGTTCTTTCTTTTGGTCCATTGTTTGAAGTTTCTATTGGAAGTGCCATGATTTCCTGAGTCTTTGTAATCCTTGTATTCTCCCATTGGTGTGTGTGTGTTTGCAGCAACAACCATCTTTTCTGGCTTTTTCAGATGTTTCTTGGCAGTGATAGATCTTCACTATTTAGTCTAGCCTATGATTGATTCTTGCTGGGCCAGCTGGCATTAATTCTGGCCAAGCTAAGCTTGCTTTCAGGTTCTCTAGATGGCTTGGCTGCTACCTTTGCTCTGCATTCATGTGGAGCAGCTGGCTAAGTTCTGCTACCCAGCAAGAAAACTGGCTGAGCTCTGGAATTAGGCTGAGCTCCGGATGGGCACTGCAATCACCTCTGATCTACCTGGGCTGCAGCATGTATTCCCTGACCAGAAGGGGCCATATATGTATCAGCAGTTGCACAGTGTTGCAGGAGGGTCCCTGAGGTTAAGTGTATCAGTATGAATGGAGCAACTGCTATGTTCAATAGAAATGCATGACTGAGATTTGCCTCCCTTTCTGGGTCAGGTGTGGGGATGGGCTTTGAGGCCGGGGGGGATGGCTGATTAAACTCCCTGGTGTGCCAAACTAGGGCTTATCAAATTTTGCCCAGTTCTGCTGTGGCAGAGGCTGGCAATCCTGTCCTTATGGTTCACATTAGCTAGTCTCACAGAAGTTCTTTACACGAGTGAAATTAATCCCTGGTACAGCAGAGAAAGGCTGGAAGGCAAGGCCTGGCTTCTCCTGGATCTGCCATGTAATGAAGACTGGTAAATCTGTTTCAGTGGCTCGTATGGGAGAGTCATCCAGCATATCCCTGTGTTTGGGGATAGTTTCCTGACCACAGTGACGGGCTGGAGCTGAGACTGGTCCCCTTCAAGATCTGCTGTGCAACAGTCAGGCATGTCTGTCGTAGTGGCTCAGCTAGTGTGCATGTCTCACAGCAGTTCCCTACATAGATTCCCTGACTTCAACAGAAGGGGCTAGAGCTGAGACCAAGCCCCTTTGAGATCTGCTATGGGACGGGGTGGGCAAACCTGTTGCAAACTCTCTGACAGGTGCATCTCCCAGCAGTTTCCTGCACAGGTGATACATTTCCCTGGCTGTGGCAAAGGGTAGTTGAGCCTCAGATGGATAAGTCTCCAGGCAGTTCTCTGCATGTGTAGGATACTTCCTGGGCTTTGTGGCAGAGAAGCGCTGGAACCAAGGCAGGATCTCTTTAAGATCTACCGTGGGAATGAAGCCAAAAAGCCGGTCATGGTGGCTCAGATGGGTAAGTCTCCCTCTGGGTCCTTGTTGGGGCAGTACTCAGCTGGGACAACAGCTGAGGGGCCTGGAATTGAGTTACGGACAACTTTTGACTCCACTACTGCTATGGTTTGGATATGGTTTGTTTGGCCCCACCAAATCTCATGTTGAAATTTGATCCCCACTGTTGGAGTTGAGTCCTGATGGGAAGTGTTTGTGCTGTGGGGACAAATCCCTCATGAGTGGCTTGATGCCATTCTTGTGATAATGAGTGAGTTCTCGCTGTATTTGTTCCTGCAAAAGCTGGTTGTTAAAAAGAGTCTGGTACTGCCCCGTCCCCTCTTGTTTTCAATCATGCCATGTGATCTCTGCATGCTGGTTCCCCCTTGCCTTCCACCTTGAGTAGATGAAGCATGAGATTCTCGCCAGAAGCCAAACTGGCACCATGGATCTTGTACAGTCTGCAGAACTGTGAGTCAAAGAAACCTTTTTTCTTTATAAATTATCCAGCCCCGTAAATATAATGGCCCCATAAAAATTTTGATGTCAAAATTCCTAAAATTTGTGATTCTGTCACCTTACATGGCAAAAGGGAAACTACGGTTGCAGATATTACTTTATAGCAATGCAGAAATGGACTAAGACAACCACTGAGACCAATGACTCTCACAAAGAGACTTTTGTCCATGGATAGGCACAGATTTCTTATGTGAGGAGATATGAGTAGTAACTTCCTATTTCATGATCTTGCTGACATCACTCTTCGTGATTCAGGTTTAAACTAAAATGTCACCTTCTCATTAGCCTCTGTATATGTAAAGAGGAAATAAAAGCTAAGAGACCAAAGTTGAATGCTTACTAGAAGTTTTACGTTTCCTAGTAGGAAAAGTAATCCTACATGGCGGATAAAGCTTGGGGCAGTAAACACGGGAATAGGCCTTTCAGAGCTACAAAGATCTCTGTCTCATTTTAGAAGAGCCATATTTCAAAGTTCCACTGATTGCTGGCAATATCTAGGCTTATTGATTAGGTATTGTGTAAAGGCTGGGCTGCCTGATACTGGTTTCTGCTGTATCATGAATTACCTAATTTAGAATTATAACTTTCATCTGCCTTTGCTACACTGATGAGGTACCCAATTCAGCAATATTGTATCCAGTTGTTATTTTAACCAAAGTGAGATGTATACCACTGTCAACAGCTGAGATAACCCTGTCAGGGCTCTCTGGCCCTTCATCTGAAAGACCAGTAAATGCTCCCTTTTTATCCCCATCCCATTATCCACAAACACATAATACTTACTTTTCTCCATTAAAAGATATGTAATATATTATGTATTTTACTTATGTTGTTATTGTTCATCTTTCCCATTAAAATATAAACTCCATGGTAGAAATTTATGTTTTCTTTTTACTGCTATGTCCTCATTACCTAGAGCAGGGTCTGCTTAATAGTAAACAAACAATAAATACCTGATTAACACTAAGATATAATCCTTTACTAGCAAGTGTACCTTCATGTTGCATAGTGTTGAAATAGAATAAGGTACAAATTAATTATAATAAAAAATAAACATTTAAAACATTTCTGTAGATTTTTACACATTAAAAGCAAAGCAATGATATGACATTAGTTACTGTAGAAGGCAGAATAATGGTCCCACAAAAATTTTGATGTCAAAATCCCTAAAATTTGTGATTCTGTTACCTTACATGGCAAAAGGGAAACTAAGGCTGCAGATGAGACTAAGGTTGCTAATCATCAAACCTTAAGAAAATGAGATTTGGGGGATTTTGGGGGTGGCCCAATGTAATCACAAGGACCTTAGAAGTGAAACAGGGAGGCAGAACAGAAGGTCAGAATGATACGGTGTGAGAACTCAACCCACTGTTGCTGGCTTTGAAGACAGAGGAGAGGCTATGAGCCATGGAATACAGGCAGCTTCTGGAAGCCGAACAGTGAGACCCATGTCAGACTTCTGACCTACACAGCTAATAAAAAAAAAATGTGTGGTTTAAGCCAAGTTGGTGGTGATCTGTCATAATAGTAATAGAAAACCAATATAGTTATTTTAAAAAAATTGATGTGGTTACTTTAAACATTTTAATTTTTGACCTCTTCTTGATCAAATAATTGTTATTTATGTATTTTTGTTTCTTGATCAAATAATTGTTATTTATGTATTTTTTTATTAAAAGTAAATACTTACACATTTTGCCTTTCCTGTGATTGGAGTACTCTTCTGAGTCATCTGATTCACATGAACAAAGGACTCACATGAATTATTTGCCTTGGATGAGGTAGCACAGTGTCCATCTCTCTAAATCAATGCTCAAATTAAAATTTTCAGATGATGTAAAATGTTATCATTAGAAAATGACCACAAGTCAATTGTAACAAAAATTATTATACAATTAAAACAAAATTTGAAGAAAACAAAAACCAATGAACATTTAATGTTTAGTATTCTAAATGTGCTTTCTCAAAATTAATAGAGTAAAGCAATCCATCTCTAACGATTGACTTTGAGGCTGGTAAATTCCTGTTAATGTTTCAGGTCTTTTAAGTTTTCAAACTAGTTGAAAACTTTTGTTAGTATCATTCAGTATTTAATATTTGCAATTATTAAATAATTATTCACTTCAAATAATGAAATAAATGAAGCTTTTTGAATATCCCTTATTTGAAACTCCACAGGTGAAAATTATAGCAATTATTCTGTTCCTCAAATTCCTAAGACTTTTTTTTAGCCAGAGATAGTATGGTCTGAAAATGATTTGGACATTTTCCTTTTCCATTGTCACACCTTAGAACTGCCATTGCATTTCTGTAAGAACATTAACTCTTGCTGTTTTTTTTTTTTTTTTCTCAGCAACCATTTCTTGGCTACTTCTTTAGAATATATTTTTATATAAATAGAACATGGCAAAACATTTTTAAAACTAATACAGTATATTCTATTTAAGGTAAAGGAAAGTTTTGTATGTGTATCATCACCTCCTTTCCTTCTTCCTGTGTATCTTTGACTGCATTTTGCAAATGTTTATCTTCCCTTAGTTTAGTATTGCAACATTCTAACTTCACACAGAAAAACAAAATGAAACACACACACATCCACTTGGTAAATTGAAGTTTCTGATTCATCATGTATATGTAAATCACCTGTGGTAGCTCCGTGCTTATCCCTAAAAATGTCTGGAACTATGGTATTGACTCTTGGACAAGATAGGAATGAAATATTCTAGCTCATGATTGGTAATGTGCTAAGATCAAAACTCCCCTGGAGGTATCTTGTACCAGCTGGTCAAAATTATCGTAAATATGTAGATTGGTGGTCTAAACCTGGTGCATCTGGTTACACAGCCTAGTTTGACTAAGTTGTTAGTGTTGTATCTGCATCAATGACTCTTAGTAAACACAAGACTGGGTATCCTTGAGACAGAGGCAATCACACTTATCTTGATGGTTTGTGATCCAGAGATAGCGCTTATCCCATGTGACAGAGATAGGACCCTGGAAGCTATGCCTGCATGCCTATAATCTGCCTGATATTTTATTTTTCTGGCTAAATTGAATTATTAGTCTTTATTAAAGCTTTATGTTTGTGTGCTCTGTGGCATCTCTTGAGTCTTTTAATTATATAACCCTCTGTAATTGCTGTAATGTCTGACTTCATTAAATGGTTCTAGGAATCAACTGGCCTGGAAATTATGATATTGGCAAAATTGTTTTATTTCTCTAAGTACCAAGTTTGCTTTTCTTAAATAATTTTTGATATTTTTCAGTTTTCTTTGATGGCTATATTAAACACACTTAAAATCCTTCCAAGTAAGTGTTCATGTAATAGATGTTTTCCCCCTAATTATTAAAGCAGCACATTTGGAAAATATTGACTTTCTCTATTTTCCCCATTGGTAAGGTAAACGTTTTAAAAGCAGCCAAGGTTAAGAAGTATAGTCAACACAGCTGCAAATGCTGCAACCTAAAT